>NC_000006.12:64125533-64428564 GCF_000001405.40 Homo sapiens
CCAGCACTTTAGGAGGCTGAGGCGGGCGGATCGTGAGGTCAGGGGATCAAGACCATCCTGGCTAACACGGTGAAACCCCATCTCTACTAAAAAATACAAAAAATTAGCCGGGCGTGGTGGTGGGCACCTGTAGTCCCAGCTACTCAGGAGAGTGAGGCAGGAGAATGGCGTGAACCCGGGAGGCGGAGCTTGCAGTGAGAGGAGATCGCACCACTGCACTCCAGCCTGGGCGACAGAGCAAGACTCCGTCTCAAAAAAAAAAAAAAAAAAAAAAAAGTTGTCAACTCTCAAACATCAGAGAGATGGAATGAGACCCTCGATTACCACACTCAATATAAATTGTATCAGCCCATTGGTGTATGCACATTTGCACTATTCTCTTCTTTTTTTTTTTTTTATTATACTTTAAGTTTTAGGGTACACGTGCACAACGTGCAGGTTTGTTACATATGTATACATGTGCCATGTTGCACAACAGGTGCTGGAGAGGATGTGGAGAAATAGGAACACTTTTACACTGTTGGTGGGACTGTAAACTAGTTGCTGGTGGGATTGTAAACTAGTTGTTGGTGGGACTATAAACTAGTTCAACCATTGTGGAAGACAGTGTGGTGATTCCTCAAGGATCTAGAACTAGAAATACCATTTGACCCAGCGATCCCATTACTGGGTATATACCCAAAGGATTATAAACCATGCTGCTACAAAGGCACATGCACACGTATGTTTATTGCGGCACTATTCACAATAGCGAAGACTTGGAACCAACCCAAATGTCCATCAATGATAGACCGGATTAAGAAAATGTGGCACATATACACCATGGAATACAATGCACTATTCTCTTCTACATCAGTTTTCCTCTCAAGTCTCCTCAAGATTTGTGCACTTTCTGTGACTCTAGCATATTGCAGTTACTCCAGTATCAAATGTTGTGTTAAAATTCTGGCCTGTAGAAATGATCACTCAGATATCTTACTAATTTGTTGGCATTTTAAGGTTCTTCCACCAAAACATCACGTTCTGCACATCGTTTTTAAATTCTTATTTTCTCTGCCAGGTCCAGCTCCTTTCTTACTGACCAGAGCTCTATCAGCTTCTTCACACTTCTCCTCCTTAACTGCTTATCTTTCAAAGAGCAGTTCAAGTCCCCTCTTCACTGTCTTCCTGCAATCATTTAGGTCCTTGTCAATGTCTGTATATAGTTTCATTTCTAAATCCCAGAAACAACTGATGGTAATAATTGCATGTTTATATATTTACATATATTTAAAAATATATATACACATATATTTAAATACATATATACACACACACATATCTATATACATACATATATGTATGTATTCAAATATATAGGGTGTCTGATCTATTCCAGGTGCCTAGTCCAATGCCTATTCTAGGCTCCAGTAAGACATAGACTCTGTAGCATGGTTATGGGTTAGAGATGACTGTGAAATGCTCAGCTGACCTAGCATAACAAGGGAACTACTTTCTGGAAGTATTCTTAAATAAAATTAAACTCTGAAAGGCAAATGTTTATTTGAAATATTTAATCTGTCTTTCACTAGGAACATACAACTTTTAAAACTTTGGTAAACTACATTACTTTATAAATGCAATCTGTAACCTGAATAATATATCATGTGTCTTGTTTGTATCTAGGTTTCTGAAAGCTTAAATACAGATTCAACATTAGTTACATGGAAGGAAAAAGAATCTCACTAATTTACTTGAACAGTATTGTATGGGTATAATTCCTAGACTAAGTGACTTTTCAAATGGTAGTAACTGCTATACAATAGCTACAATTACTTACTATCATCTAAAAATTATAGGAAGGTAAGCTGCGAAAATTATTTTTCATTGGAAGATACTTTTAACCAAAAGGTTCAGCTTTAGTTGGAGTAGATTTTTTCCCTTTTATTGCTGTCTAATATTAACACAAACTAGGTTATTTCTTTTCTCTACGGATTTGTTTATATTGTGTTCAAAATGATTTCTCCATGTTTCCATTTATTTTGAGAGACTAAAATTTATAAAAATTTTCACATTCACTTGTCTTGATGTAAAGTAATTGCTTCTATTGAAAATGTAATTCACAAGCTTTTGAAAATAATGTAAGCTATACTTATGGCTCAAGACAGAGAAAAATAGTTTAAAAATCAATAAACTAAAAAACAAATGTATCTGGGGCAATACACCCAAATGAAAAGCAAAGAAAGATATCTCAGGTTATCAGATTCATAGAGTTTTGAAACTGTTTCAAGGAATCTTGACCATCAATGAGAGCATGGAGGTGCTTATTTTCCATATACTTATTATATGGGAAAATAATTAGAAAGTTTAAACGCAGCAAAGAATTGTATCTCAAAAAATGGTCTTGATATTTTGAAATAATTTTAACAAGGGATATTAAATATAACACCAGAAATTTAACAAATATATTTAATCATGAAAATTGGCATCTAACATTTTGCCAATGTCATCTACAATCTTGAGTCTCCTAGGTATGAGATCTGTCTACCTAGGTCAAAGGCTATTGAACTTGGGACATCTAAAGAGCTTCATAAAAGACAACTTTCTCCAATATAATAGTAACTTCTGATGTGTACAGAGCTTATTACATTGCTACACGTTTTTACCTGAGCAGTACGATCTTTTATTTTTAGCTCCTTTGGATGTTTCAATTGCATTTCTAAAAATAATATTTTCATTGCACTTGCAATTTTGTGCATCATTGCCCCTAACTGCATCTTTAAAATACATGCTGTGAATATTTAGCCCTAAAGCATACCATGAACTTTCTAAAATGGAGCATGCTTTGATTGCTGTGACTTCTTAATTTTCTCCATGAAATGAATATCTTTCATGTATATACTATGAAATCAACAATGCTAAAGGAAGATACTATCCCTCAGATGGCCTGTTCAGTTCTAATTCTCATAACATACATATTCAACAAAAATGAGGCCATGTTTATCTCTAATCCCTAGGCAATCCCTAAGCAACAGACAGAAATGTAAGGGCTGTCAACATTCCATGATCTCGTGAGCTCTAAACTGCAAGAGAGAAATTTTCTAAGTTCTATAACAGAACTTATTTCAAAGATTTCTTATAAAAGATACATTCCCACAATTGATAATCTGTATAGCTCATTCAGCAATGTTCTACTTATTTGTTTCAAAGTCAAATAAACAGTACTTATTCATTCAAAAAGTATTTATTGCATGCCTTCTAAGCAATAATCATTATGCTAATGCTTACTGCTCACTGTGTATGGAAGGGTCTCATAAGGCACAGTAAACAAGGTAATAAATCAAATGATTATACACTGTGATAAGTGCTATAAAATCAATCTCAGGGCTAAGATCTAGAATAATAGCAGTCAGTAAAGTTCTCTCTGAGGGATGACATTTAAATTTGGCAGTGAAGAAATAGATTAGAGTGGTGAGGCAAATTATATACAACCCTCTGGTCAAGTCTTGCCCACTGCCTGTTTTTCTAAATAAAGTTTTGTTAAAACACAGCCACACCCATCATTCATGTATTGTTTATAGATGTTTTGCACTACACAGCACAGTTGAGTAGTTGGAACAGAGGTTGTATGGCCTATAATTTAGAAAATCTTTGCATCTGTTCCTTTATAGAAAAAATTTTCACACACTAACTTCCACAGTGGTTGAACTAGTTTACAGTCCCACCAACAGTGTAAAAGTGTTCCTATTTCTCCACATCCTCTCCAGCACCTGTTGTTTCCTGACATTTTAATGATCGTCATTCTAACTGGTGTGAGATGGTGTCTCATTGTGGTTTTGATTTGCATTTCTCTGATGGCCAGTGATGATGAACATTTTTTCATTTTGTCTTTTGGCTGCATAAATGTCTTCTTTTGAGAAGTGTCTTGTCTGTTCATATCCTTTGCCCACTTTTTGATGGGGTTCTTTGTTTTTTTCTTGTAAATTTGTTTGAGTTCATTGCAGATTCTGGATATTAGCCCTTTGTCAGATGAGTAGATTGCAAAAATTTTCTCCCATTCTGTAGGTTGCCTGTTCACTCTGATGGTAGTTTCTTTTGCTGTGCAGAAGCTCCTTAGTTTAATTAGATCCCATTTGTCAATTTTGGCTTTTGTTGCCATTGCTTTTGGTGTTTTAGACATGAAGTCCTTGTCCATGCCTATGTCCTGAATGGTATTGCCTAGGTTTTTTTCTAGGGGTTTTATGGTTTTAGGTCTAACATGTAAGTCTTTAATCCATCTTGAATTAATTTTTGTATAAGGTGTAAGGAAGGGATCCAGTTTCAGCTTTCTACATATGGCTAGCCAGCTTTCCCAGCACCATTTATTAAACAGGAATCCTTTCCCCATTTCTTGTTTCTGTCAGGTTTGCCAAAGATCAGATAGTTGTAGATATGTGGCATTATTTCTGAGGGCTCTGTTCTGTTCCATTGGTCTATATCTCTGTTTTGGTACCAGTACCATGCTGTTTTGGTTACTGTAGCCTTGTAGTATAGTTTGAAGTCAGGTAGCGTGATGCCTCCAGCTCCTCAGGGATCTAGAACTGGAAATACCATTTGACCCAACTATCCCATTACTGGGTATATACCCAAAGGATTATAAATCATGCTGCTATAAAGACACATGCACATGTATGTTTATTGCGGCACTATTCACAATAGCAAAGACTTGGAACCAACCCAAATGTCCAACAACGATCGACTGGATTAAGAAAGTGTGGCACATATGCACCATGGAATACTATGCAGCCATAAAAGAGGATGAGTTCATGTCCTTTGTAGGGACATGGATGAAGCTGGAAACCATCCTTCTCAGCAAACTGTCACAAGGACAAAAAACCAAATGCCGCATGTTCTCACTCATAGGTGAGAATTGAACAATGAGAACACATGGACACAGGAAAGGGAACATCACACACTGGGGCCTGTTGTGGGGTGCAGGGGGGAGGGATAACATTAGAAGATATACCTAATGTTAAATGACGAGTTAATGGGTGCTGCACACCAACATGGCACATATATACATATGTAACAAACCTGCACATTGTGCACATGTACCCTAAAACTTAAAGTATAATTAAAAAAAAAAAGTTTTCAGATCCCTAGCAGTAGATGCCTTCCGAACAAAGAGGGGAGAAGGAGCATTCCATGGAGAAGGCATAACAGGAGCAATGCCACTTAGAGCAAAATACAACTAAACATGGCATATTAGAGAAACTGAAAGAAACCCAGGTAGCAAGAGGTAAAGTGGGAGGAGATTGTGGGAACCAAACAAGCTATGCTGAGCCTTGGAGGCTGTGGCGGTGAACAGTGTGATTTATTTATTTATTTATTTTTGAGAAGGAGTCTCGCTCTGTCTCCCAGGCTGGAGTGAAGTGGCGTGATCTCAGCTCATTGCAACCTCCGCCTCCTGGGTTCAAGCGATTCTCCTGCCTCAGCCTCCTGAGTAGCTGGGATTATAGGCGTGTGCCACCATGCCCGGCTAATTTTTGTATTTTTAGTAGAGACAGAGTTTCACCATGTTGGTCAGGCTGGTCTTGAACTCTTGACTTCGTGATCCTCCCCCCCTTGGCCTCCCAAAGTGCTGGGATTACAGGCATGAGCCACTGGACCCGGTGTGAATTTTTAATTCTCATGATTACACGAAGCCATTGGAAAGCTTTTAGAGGGGAGTGACGTGGTATGATTTATGTTGTTTAGAGATTTTACAGCTAATCCTTATGGAGTATTTACTATGTGCACAGTTGTAAGTCATTTATATGCATTGATTTATTTAAAAGTCTTCCATATTATGAAGTGTAATTGTAATACATAGTTTACAAAGAAAAGCAATGTTGCTTGCTCAAAATAATGTGATACACTTGCAAATCGTGGAGGCAGGATTGGAATCCAAACAGTTGTCATGTAGAGTCTATGCTCTTAACCATTAGGCTGTACAGCCTCACATTGCCTGTGGTGTACAGTATAGACCATGTGACTTGTGTGTGGGGGAGCAGTGCGGGGAGTACAGTATGTGTGTGTGTGTTTATAAAAGCAGGAATATGAGTACCTTAGGAACTGTGAAAATAGTAAAAGTGTAGTAGATGGTAGTGACCTGAGCTGTGAGACTGAATATGCAGATGAAAAATGGCTGACTTTCAGTAAAGAAGTAGTCGCTTACATTCAGTGCTGACAAGTGGTGAAGTGGGAAGTAGATTGAAAAGCATGGATTCGATTTTCAGCCGGGAGACTCTTGCTGAGAGTTACACTTCAAATAGTAACATACTACTTTGCAGAAATCATACATGGTGCCATAGACTAACAAGGACAATTGCATTTAACCCTGCAATTAATTCTGTTTTTCCAGAAGAGTAACATGAATATGACTAAACTATGTATGGTGAAGGACTATTTTCTTCCCGAGCCTTCATTTAATTTTTTTCTTTACAATTTACCAAACTGCTAGCCAAAATAGTATTCTCTATTTATAGACTAAAACTTTTCAGATGATTAATTTTGTTGTATAATGTATTCATTTTTATATTTCATTATAGTTGTCTTTCTCTGAGTAAAATACCTGTCAATGATGTTTTATTGTATAAGACTAAATTATGTTCTTGAAACTAGATGATTTGCTTTCATATACAGATCAAAAAATTCCTTTGTTAGTATTAAAAGTAAGGTATAAAAGGTTATATACATTTTTAAAAATATAAATGGCCTGTCATAGAATATACTGCGTTAAAATAAATAACTTATAATTGAATATAATGAGTTATTAGTTATCTTGGTGAAGGGACAGCAGTTGAATTATCTTATTTAGGAACAACTATCTCCAGTAATCTTTGGATTAAAAAGGTCCAAAAATGCTTATGGAGACAGTGTAGATAATCTAAAGATTATCTACAATCTTTAGAGATAATAAATTTTAAAAATCAAGAATCTCTTTTCTTGCAAGAGTTCATGTGTGCCTTTTCTTCTTTGAAAAGAGACATAGCATAGCTTAACATAATTATTCAACATTATAAATCTGAGTTTAATTATAGGGTGAAAGAAAGTGTCTCTCATGTAAGAAGACAATTACATTTAAGTTATGATGATTAAAAATATCCACAACCCAGCCTTAGCCTCTTTATTCCAAATCTAAATATACAGGACTCTTAAAATTATATAAATATTTAAAAATATTCAGTATATTCAATACTATTTGTCTAGTTTTTAAAAATTTTTATACTTTGCAATAAAATAAACCAAAGAAACAAATATAATACAAATGAATGTTCATATATTTAATACTTGAAGATTAATACAGTAGTATACAATAGGCAGAAATAAGTAACTATCATAAATTTTTCATATAAAAATCATGCTAAGGTATATATAAATGTGGATTTTCACTATAGTGTACCATTCTGTTTTTATGTTTATATGTAAGTAAAATTGAATGTACTACGTGTAACTTAGTAGACATTACTCTACACACTGATTATATGTTTTGCATTTTACTTTTGTGTTATCATTCTAAATCCTATAAATGTTTCATACTATGACAAAGGGCAGATAAAATATTATATTAAAGTCAGTCTCAGGAAGGAATAATTAGTATTTTTTGTAACAAAAAAGGATACAAATCTAATTTTGATTTTTTTCCTCATATTAACTTATCCTTACTCTTGTTCACATTTTTTATTTAAATATTAAAAATGCAATCAAGCTCATACATGGACATTTTTTAAAATGTCAGGTGGTACAAGAAAGCTTATAAAAACTAGCCTGAAGAAAGGTAGACGTTCCCATATCTCAGGCTTACTAACATTTTCAGCTTTTTCATCTGATATCTCCCTACATATCTATAGAAATGTTTATTGATTATTTTTGTTACACTAAGCTTGGCATTATCTGTGGGTTTTCTAAGATAGAGGAGAACTTGGCTTTCTTTTGCATTACTTCACACACACACACACACACACACACACACACACACACACAGAGAAATCCATTTGTATTGGTTTAACTATGTCAATAGTGCTCATTGCAAATACAGAGATCGATTTATATTTATATGCACACATGTTTTAATGATGTTTTAAACTTTATTTTCTCCATATCTTGTATTTTTACCATTATTCAATTATCAGTTACTCTACCATTAATTTTTCTATGCTACCCATATATGTATCTTTTCCCTAGAACCATTTCTCCTAGAGCTTTCCTTCTGTTTGCACTGCTGATCTCTGGGCCTAACTAAATAGCTCTTATAAGAGGACTTGCCTTCACAAATGGGTTTCCCTATTTTCCTGGATTCCATATCTTTCTTTTTTTTTTTCTTTCTCTTTCCTGAGGTTTATCTCTAAGTATCCCCTAAAGGATGACTGGGGTGAGAGATGGTTCTTATATACGAATGCTAAGGGAAGCTTCTCTGAAGTGGTGATCTTTGAGCTAAAGCTTGAGCCATGCAAAGATCTAGGAAGAGTGAATAGTTAGATAAAAAGCTCCTAAGGAAGTGTGTGCTGTGGATGTCAGTTATAGCAGGGAGGGTAGAGCCTAGCGTCATGGGGAAACTAAAAGTGGTACCTAACAAAGTGTGAGATTTATTGAAGCAGGATCAGGGTCATCTTGGGCTTTCCAGTCCATGATAAGAGTTTTGAAATTTATTTTTACTTCACTAAGAAACTACTGGCCAGTTTTAAGCCAAGGAATGATAAGAGCTATTTTTATAATAATATAGAAATGATGAGGAAGGCCTTTTCAGTGACCTGCATTTCTTCATCTTCAGAATAATAAAGCTGGTGGAATAGATGGAAAAATGATTTAGTATTTCAAATCTCCAGACTAAGGAGATAGATGTTTTTAGCAAAAAAAAAATTAATAATAGCAAATACTAAAAAGGTTATGAAGCATGAGGGCTCTAAAAAATATGTCTAGTGAAAATATATACCCAGATTAGGGAATACACAAATGATGAAGAAATGAATACAAATGCAGGAAATAATGTCAAAAGTTTTGACGATGGATTAGAGGGCAAAAAATCTAAATTCGAACCTGACAGGGAAGTATAATTAAGAAGATGTGTGGGAATGTAGATATGAAGAATGTTGGTGTGGTGGATGGAAGGGAAGCAAGCAATAGAAAGAAGTTAAAGACAAAAGTAGCAAATATGAGAAAATGGGAACCCAGTGTCTCAATACAATTCAGAGTAAAGATCGAGATTCAGCCTGACTAACGAGGAGCTCTGCATATTGATCTAGAGAGATTTTGAGAAAGGAAGGACAGAGGGAAAAACAGATCTCCATCAGGTAAGGCGTGAGGTTGACAAATGTCTCTTATTCATTTCACAAATACCTATGAACATCTATTTTCTGGGCATATGCTAGGTGCTATGGATATATGATGAGATGCATTTTGTGTTCTCAAAATGTTCATAACTAGTAAGAAAGGCAGAAAGTTAAATACATTTTTCATTGCAATAGAAGCATCTGCAAGACAATATGCGTATCCAGGAGTAGCCTTTGGAACCGAACCTGTGGTATCTCTGGGATATACCTCAGTCTTTAGACTAAAGTAAGGAGCTGAGTGAGGGTTTCATAGAGTAGGTGGTGATTTCCTGATTTTCTGGAGAATAAGTGAGTACTTAAATAGTAGGCACAGAAAGATGCAGAGAGGGAATTCTCAACAGTAGTGGTGCTTTTTTTTTTAACAGAAAAACAAAGTTAGACATTGAAAAGTAAAAGTTTCTCAGTATGGGAGATCCTCAAGAAATTCAGAAAGTGATTATAAACAAAGAATAGATCATAAACTACTATGAACATTATGCTGTAGTGTTTAGGTATTACAAGACAATTGCACATATGATCAAAATTTTATTTAGAAATATTCCTGTGATCAAAACAGAGGGATACTTTCAGGGGTGAGTGAGAAGGGATTTAAATAGACACTATAACACTATGGGGATATTTTAAAATAAATAATTAAACGAGTAATGGGAAGGGAGAAAAGTGTTTGGATAATATTTAAACAAGATTAATAGGACTTGGGGTTGCTTGGGTGTAGGTGAAACTGACCTTAAGAAGGAGTACAGGCATACTTCAGACACATTGTAGGTTCAATTCCAGACCACTACAATAAGGTGAGTCTCACAATTTTTTAGGTTTTCCAGTGTATATAAAAGCTATGTTTACATTATACTGTAGTTTAAGTATGCAATATAATTATATCTAAAAACAGCATATATGCCTTAATTTGAAAATATTTCATTGCCAAAAAATGCTCATGATCATCTGAGCCTTTAGTGATTATTTTTGCTAGTGGAGGGTCTTGATGTTGACAGCTGCTGGCTGGTCAGTGTGGTAGTTTCTGAAGATTGGGATGGCTATGGGCATTTCTTAAAATGAGACGTCAATAAAGTTTGCCACATTAATTGACTTACAAAAGATTCCTCTATAGCATGTGATGCAGTTTGATGGCATTTTACCCACAGGAGAACTTCTTTCAAAACTGCAGACAGTCCTCTCAAACCTTGCCACTGCTTTATCAACTAAATTTGTGTATATTCTATATTCATTGTTGTTATTTCAACAATGTTCCCAGCATCTTCACCAGGAGTAGATTCTTTCTAAAAAAAAAAAAAAAACCACCTTGTTTGCTCTTCCTTAAGGAACAACTTCGTATCCATTAAAGTATCATCATGAGATTATAGCAAGTTAGTCACATCTTCAGGCTCCATTTATAATCCCAGTTATCTTGCTATTTCCACCACAGCAGAAGTTACTTCCTCTACTGTAGTATTAAATTCCTCAAACTCATCCATGAGGTTTGGAATCAATTTCTTCTAAACTCCTGTTAATGTTGATATTTTGACCCCTTCCCATGAATCATAAATATTCTTAATGGCATCTAGAATGGTGAATTTTTTCCAGAAAATTTTCAATTGACTTTGCCTAGATTCATTGGAGGAATCACTATCTATGGCAGCTATAACCTTACAAAATGTATTTCTTAAAATATAAGACTTGGAAGTTGAAATTACCCCTTAATCCAATGACTGCAGAATGGATGTTGTATTGTCAGGCATGAAAAAAAATTAATCAACTTGTAAATCTCCGTCAGAGCTCTTGGATGACCAGACACATTTGTCATGAGCAGTAATATTTTGACAGGAATCTTTTTTTCTGAGCAGCAGGGTCTCAATAGTGGGCTTAAAATAGTCATTAAAGCATGTTGTAAACAGATGTGCCATAATCTAGGCTTTGTTCTTCCATTTCTAGAGAACAGACAGAGTAGATTTAATATAACTCTTAAGGGCCCTAGGATTTTTAGAATGATAAATGAGCATTGGCTTCAACTTAAAGTCACCACCTGCAAGATTCCCTAACAAGAAAGTCAGCCTATCTTTTGAAGCTTTGAAGCCAGAAATTAATTTCTTTGTAGCTATGAAATTCCTAGATGGCATCTTCTAGTAGAAGGCTGTTCAATGTACATTGAAAATCCATTGTTTAGTGTAACGACCTTCATCAATGATCTTAGATACATCTTCTGAACAACTTGCTGCAGCTTCTACATCATCACTTGTTGCTTCATCTTGCACTTCTCTGACATGGAGATGGCTTCTTAAACCTCATGAACCAACCTCTGCTGGCTTCAGACTTTTCTTCTGCAGCTTCCTCGCCTCTTTCAGCCTTCATAGAGTTGAAGAGAGTTAGGCGTTGCTCTGGATTAGTCTTTGGTTTAAGAGAATGTTGTGGTTGGTTTGATCCATCTGGACCAAACTTTCTCCATATCAGCCATAAGCCTATTTCACTTGCTTATCATTGGGGTGTTCAATGGAGTAGCACTTTTGATTTCCTTCAAGATCTTTTCCTTTGCATTCACAACTTGGCTAAGTAGTGCAAGAGACCTAGCATTTGACCTGTTTCAGCTTTCAACATGCCTTCCTCACGATGCTTGATCATTTCTAGCTTTTGATTTAAAGTGAGAGATGTGTGACTCTTCCTTTTACTTGAACACTTAGAGGCCATAATAATAGGGTTATTATTTTGAATTGGCCTAATATCAGTATCATTATCATTGTGTCTCAGGAAATAGGCCCAGAGAAAGAGAGAGACAGAGAGAGAGAAAGGAGAATTACTGGTTGGTGGAACAGTCAGAACACTCACAATATGTATCCATTAAGCTTGCCATCTCATACGAGTGCAGTTTGTGACATCCCAAAACAATGACAGTAGTAATATCAAAGGTCACTGATTATAAATCAGCATAACATATACTAATACTGGTAAAGTTTAAAGTATGAGAATCATCAAAATGTGGCACAGAAATGCACACTGTTGAAAAAATGACACCCATAGAATTGCTGGTCACAGAGTCCTTACTTTGTAAAAAACAAAAACAAAAACAAAAAAATAACAAAACTCAGTATATGTGAAGCACAATAAAGTGAGGCATGCCTGTATTGGATGAAAACTGCCAGATTTTAATATTAAGCAATCGAGAGAATAGTGACTTTAAGCACTTAGAAATGATAATTAATGTCAAAGCCAAAGCGAGATGAAGCAAGAAAAAGGCTAGCGAGTGTCGATTGGATTGACCATTCCTAAACTCAAGCACAATTTCTGTGTCTGTTGAAACAGAACTTCAATTGTACATAGTAGATGTAAATAGGTGAGCTGTAAGTCGTAGACGAGGAAGGGTTGACATTAGAAAGCTGGCTAGAAAAAGAAAAAGAGGAATGGCTAAATGGGAACATAAAACTCAAAATAATCTTTCTGGTATACCTATTTTATGAAGACGGAAAAATCTTGGGCATTTGTGAAGTGAGAAAGAAACAAGATATTGGGAAAGGAGGGTATATAACACAGCAAAGTCTTGGAGGAACAGAGAAGGAAGGGTTGGAACTCAGAATTCACACAAAGATAGGGCATTCATTCCAGAGACAGTTAGGACATTTCATTTTCAAGGAATAAGAGGGCATATAAAACAATAGCTGTAATTACGGATATATGTGGGGTGAGGAGAGTCAAGAGAGTATACTTCTTATGGCTTCTGTTTCAATTGTGAATTCAGAGGCAAGGCAATTAAATAGGGCATTTGGGAGAGTGCTGCTGATTTAGAACCACTGTCCCAAGAAAAAGGAAAAAACCCTAGTTGACTAGAGAAAATAAAAAGCATCCTCATAATTGTGCTGTTTTTTCAACAGCACTGAGCAGCCTGCTTGTACAAGTGGAAAATTCACATATAGGACATGGATAGCATCAAATGAGAGGTTGACTGCTTCAAGTTATAAACTATTTGAGTTATTATGATGTGTTAATGTTGGCAGGTAAGAAATTAAAATCCGAAGCATGTTGTTAGACTTTTATGCCTAGTGTTCCATTATTGGAATGCTAAGCATGGGAGAGTTATTTATATCCTACTTCTCAAAGATACCTCCAAAGTCTGATTGCAAAAATTCAAAAAATTGCAACCTCAGGCATAATTGGGTTAATAGACTGGGTTATCTAGGATCTAGATAAAGAGTTGGCCTGGGGATGGGAGTTCCAGGAAATAAAACAGGTACAGCATATATAAGTTTTAATACCAACTCTGAAAAGAAAAGAATTTGAGAAGGCTGATAATTTTGGCATAATACTATAAGAAAATGTATGGAAAATCAAGGAGAGATGAATAAAAAGTCTTCAGAACATAAAAATAGGGTTGAAATCCTGAATTCATGTTCACCCAATATATGCATTTTCATCAATTTCCCAAAGAAACTTTGGCAACTGGGAAGTGGTCATAGGGAGTGTATCCTGAACTAAGGACTTTAAAGGGGAGATATAAGGAGTAGTCAAAGAAGACATACATTCTAGTGGCAGCAAGGGCTTTCTTGAGATGGTTGATTACCATGTTCAGCAGGTGGAGTTAGGTGGCTAAGAAATCAGTTATAATTAAAAATATTTTTTTAAAAAAAGAATATGAAAGACATAGGTAGTAAGTTATAGTCAGAAAGTGATTTCTGATCTTGAGATTTTAGTTTTGAAAAGCTCCACATATTTAAAAGGGATAAGATTTTGTCACTGAAGTCTAATGTGCTAGAAAGGTTATCAATATGGGCATTGAAGAGTTGAGCAGAGATGGCATAGAGTTAGCTGTATTAAATATTTGATAAGTAAATAAATAAATGGGAGGCTGGGCACGGTGGCTCACGTCTGTAATCCCAGCACTTTGGGAGGCCGAGGTGGAAGGATCACGAAGTCAGGAGTTCAAGACCAGCCTGGCCAAGATGGGAAAACCCCGTCTCTACTAAAAATACAAAAATTAGCTGGGCGTGGTGGCAGGCGCCTGTAATCCTAGCTACTTGGGAGGCTGAGGCAGAGAATTGCTTGAACCTGGGAGGCTGAGGTTGCAGTGAGCCGAGATCGCACCACTGCACTCCAGCCTGGGTGACAGAGCAAGATTCTGTCTCAATAAATAAATAAATAAATAAATAAATAAATAAATAAATAAATAGGATAATGGACAAGTGCTTGGATAAATGGAAAGTAAATAAAAGGCATTAGAAACACTGAGTGTAAATGGTGGTATTTGGAAGTTGTATAATGATAGCAATGAGAATGAAAAGGGGTGGTAATTAATATGAAAAACAGAACATCTGGGCCAAAATATATTCTATTCCTGGGGTAACCCCCCATCTATTTTGTCTGAATGTTTATATTGATTAATAAACCTGAATCACAAAATTATATTCTGCCAATATCTGTACATATCTAATAGTGAGAAGCCCTATATGATTATTTCTTAGCTTTGAGGCTTTTGATGATACTGAATTAATTTCTTGCTTCACAGAATATTTAAGTGAAAATTCTTGGTGTGGTTTATTCACACAGCATATGATGTTTAATATTAGTAGTTCTGGTGGATACTTTGTGTTACTTCTTCAGATGTACTCTCAATCTATTTCCACCTGCCTCTCATCCCAAGGAGGTGGACCTGTATGGATTTCAATGGAGTAATATTACCTTCTGATGACCATCTGAGTTCAGCCAATGAGCAACTCTAGCAAGAGATGAGTGGGAAGGAGCAGAATGAGTTTGGGCTGTGTATGCCCCCAGCTTCATTCCTGTATCACGTCCCCTGCTAGGTTGGATTCCCATATGGAAGGTCGCGGGTCCTCTCCAGGCAGTCCTTTCTACACAGCTGGCTCTCTCACTATAGGTTTTGGCAACTGCTGACTGCCTTCTCCCCTTAGGCACTGGGAATGATAAAAAGCTCCTCTACTGTTAGGCTCGGCATTCCCCACTCTCCTTTATGGTTTCTCTACTCCTTGGCTATACAGTCCTAAATACTCCTTCATGAAACCATCCTCAAATTTTCCTAATTTGAGTGTGCCATCTGTTTCCTACTGGGACCCTGACTCAGGCAAAATCAAAAAAATTATCAACAACCTTGTTATTAACCTGTGTAAAAATGTGTCTTTATGACCTTGCAATATTTTCTCATATACTACTTTTACCATGTATCACTATACTACATTTTAAAGATGCATTTCATTGGATTATTATTTTATAATTTTCATTCCCATTTTAAGTTCATTTAGAGGAAGGCAAACTCCCAAATATAAATGTAGCTATGTCTCTTAATTCGTTTACACTAAGATCCTTGGTAGCACAATACTTTATTCCTTGGCTTGTGAGATACCTAGAGATTTCTAGAGAAATTCTTCACATATAGATATATGTGCCCATCTTTAAAAATATTTTAGACAATGATGTTGGTTGGCATGGCTATGTTGAATTGCTAACAAGCCAGAAGGCTTTTGTCCTGGCAGGAATAAAGTGATATTTGATCACAGGATGCAGTTTTACTATGAAAAGAGAGAAATCACTTCTCAGAAGCTCTGAGTTAAATTAGAAAGCAGGTTGATTACTTTTAATACTGCAGATGATTGACTAGAAACAAAGACCATGTGTCAGAACAAAAGTGTTAATACCTGAAACAGCCTCTTTTTTTATTTTTATTTTTTTGCCAATGAACAAAAATGACTGCTTGGAAGATCATTAATAGGCATGAAAATAAGCCCTTTTAATGTAATATCTTTATTCCAAGTTGAAATTCACTGACTGAAAAAAGTATTTAAATTCATAAGATATAATCATATAAGAATGGTATTTCTAATTTATTCCTAATTGGTTTTAATCAGTTAGCATGATCTATAGCCTAATTTTAATTTATAAAACAATGAGCAATATTTTTCTTCACTGTAAGAATAATATTAAACACTTAGATCTTTAAAACCAGTACTGACTGTATAGTGGTGTTTTATGTGTGGAAGTCTAGTTTGCATACTTGCCGCATATTTATACTCTCCAGTACACTCTCTCCCCCACCCAAATGTTCACTGGCATGCCCAAGGCAAGTTTTCCCTTCATAATCCCATGTCAAAAGCCAGAATGCATGTCAGTGAAACTACCAACCAAAGTTTGAATCAGATATATTCAGATTTGAGCTGGAAGTGTAATGTTTTCATCAGCTAATACTGGCCTTAGGGGAGGAAGGAGCAAAGCAGACCGGACAATAAGTGGTGAATGCCTAGGAGTCCTCGAGGTGGAGAGAAAAAGATCTTCCTCAAGAGGGTCATTGAGTACCATGGAGGGATCCCATGCTGACCGTTACCTCTGAGCAGCCCCCCGTTTATGGTCTTGGATACTTGAAGAGTATCCAATAATTAAAGAAATTAAATTATAGTGAAGTATAATAAATAGTCTGGTATATATGGAAACACATATGGCTCTTTACTACAGATGGGATATGTCAGGAAAGTCTTTCAAGCAGAAGTGAACTATAAGCTGAGTTCTGAGAAAAGGGCTTGACTTAGCCAGAAAAGTGCTACAAGACCAGCCCCCAAAACTGGAGCCTCATGTTCAGAGCCAGAGAGAAAGGGAAAACATGGCCAGGTCAGTGAGAAATAAGCAATGCAGTGCCTCTAAAGTATGAGGTATAGCAGTCAGTGCAGAAAGGGAAAACGAGAAGTATTTAAGAATGGATTTGGCCAGGTACGCAGGAACCAGGTCATAGCACACCTCATGTTTGCTAAGTTTATAGAAGGCCATCAGGGATTAAGGAAAGGAGTCATGATCAACCTTAGGATCCAGAATGAATTCCAGCAGTAGTGGAAGGCACACATTGTTTGGTTAGAAAAATAGAGTTTGATAGGAAGTGACAGAACTGTTATGTTGCTTCACTTCAAGCAGGAAATGATGAGAGCCTAAATTAGTTTAATGGTGGTATGGGAAGGCAGTAGAAGTGAATGAGACAAATCTCAGACATGTTCAGGAGACAAGTTACATTGAATATGGAGGTAAGAGAGGGAAGAAATCTAGACTGACTACCGTGTTTCTGAGGAGGATTGGTATTCACTCCAGTGATCAATGGATTCAGTAGGTAAATTGTTTAAAAAAATGTGGTATATCCAAACAATGAATATTATTCAGTGCTAAAAAGTGAGAAAGCCATGAAAAGATGTGGAAGAAATGTAAACGCATATCACTAAATGAAAGAAGCCAGTGGAAAAAGGCTACATGCTGTATAGATTCCAACTATGTGATATTCTGGAAAAGCAAAACTATGGAGGCTGTGAAAATATCCGTGGTTGCCAAAGGATGATGGAGAGAGGGATGAATAGACCTTGCACAGAGGATCTTTAAGGCAGGGAAACTACTCTATATGATACTACAACAGTAGATGCATGTCGTTCTACATTTATCCCAATCCATAGAATGTGTAACAGCAAGAGTAAGCACTAACATGGACTATGGACTTTGGGTGATGATGTGTAAATGCAGGTTCATTTATTGTAAAAAAAAAAAAAAAAAAAAAAAAAAGTATCACTGTAGTATGAGGTATTCTTAGTAGAGGAGCTTGTGCATATGGAGGAATAAGAAGTACATAGGAAGAACTCTTTATATTTTGCATTCAATTTTTCTGTAACCTAAAAGTGCAATTAAAAATAAGGTATTAAAATACATGGCTCAGATTCTGGGAAGTAAGTTCAAATTTGAGATGTCTTTGAGAGATTCAGGTGGAGATACCCACTAATGAATGGGATTTAGTTTCTGCATCACAGGGCAGAAAACTGGGTCTCTCTCTCCAGACCCTGTCCCCAGCTCCTGGGCATGGATGTTCTCGGCTTATCAGCCAGATGTGTCAGCCACAGACACATGAAGAAAAGTCAGGGACCACAGTCTCTTTATTCCACAAAATGTTTTTGACCCTGCCAATAATTAGCTAAGCCAAAATGAGTTTCTGGTATATATATAGTCAATTATTCTTAATTAACTGCCATCCTTTGGAGAACATAAAGGATATTTATGATGAAGATTTCTGTGTCATCTTTTTCTTTTGGAAGTCATTGGGGTATCCCCTTTTGAGCAGGTTAACTTCTGAAATGTATTTTGCTTGGGATACTGCAAGTTCTCATTATCTCATCTAACATCAAAAGCATGAAAACAGTTTTCAGAAGTGTGTTAGACTTAAGAATTTCAGGGGTTTCCAGCTGAGGGAAAGGAATTCCCAGGCATGTACAACAACTCATTAAGCTAAATGAATTGCTAATGCTGGGGTTTGCTATGGACGCAGCTTTGACTGCATCTGTCAGGCTGGTACATCTTTTCACTTCACTGAAGAGTGTTATAGGTCTAGAATTATGCCACAGCAAGCCAGAAAGTGGGTATTATGAGACAAATGACATTACTTTTTTTGTACTTTGTTCATGCTTCAGACTACCATATTGCTTCACTTTTTGAGATTAAGAACTAGTTAAGTTTCACAAAGCCATGACTAGAAATATTTAACATGTTCTTTAGCCAGGTTAGAGAATGAAAGAGAAAACTCTTCCAAAAGGAAAATAGCTTCAATAATCTTTCTGTGTGACCACTGGTCCTGTTTTATGCACTATACTTCAATTTGCTATGAAGCAAGTGAGGCCCAGAGTGTGCTTGGAGGCAGGCACCCTAATCCTAACATGCTAACTTAGGACTCTGGGACCTTTGCTGGGAACTTCTCAAGTCACAGCACTTGTTTTCCACGTTCTCCTACATGGTGTGCTACCCCGTCAGCTCTGAAGCATGAAAGTGAACACTTGTTTCTGCTGCTTACTGAAACTCCATCCTTTCTCCAACCCCATGTTATCATCCTGGGTCCTCACACTACAGCCAGGGAGGGCTGGGAAGAAGTGACAACTTCAGTTGCCTAACTTCTATTAGGCTGTGAAACACATATGGTCCCATGATGTGAGTAGGTCGCGCAGAACAAGAGGGGCTAGCTGGCCACGTGTTGGGGATGGATGGAAAAAATGCTCTTTTTTTCCAAATTTTCTATGATACTGTGAACAAGACAGTTTCTCAATAAGGGGTCCTTCTGTGCACATGTTTGTGTATCTCTAGCTAGCAAGCTAACTATCTCACTCAGAGAAAGGTTTGCTTTTCTTTTTCTTTTGGTGGCTGGATATATCAGTTTTATATAATTTTACCTGATAAACTACTTATTGTTATTCTATGAACACAAAAGGATGATAAATTTGAGGGATGAAAATTTGACAGCTTCTATTGAATAAGAAGCATGATTATTTTACAGAATGTTGTTACCTTTAGACTAATATAGTTCCTTGCCTTTTAATTTTCTTTTTACCATATTTCTCTATGCTTTTGTTTTAGGATTATACATTAAGCAGCTGTATCATCAGTCTTAAACATACATGATGTAACTGCAAACTGACAAACATTCACTAATTAGAAGAAAGACTAATCTGAAATGCACACAAAATGCATGGAAAGAAATGACTTTTTTAAAATGCAAGCAACACTTTAATTGGACAACTATAGCATTACTAAGCAGTGGATCTACAATGACACTTAGAAATAAAAGTGTGATTACCATGTTCATTATATGTAAAATGTTTGAAAAGACTGCCACTTTATTTTATTACTCTCTTAAAATCCTTTATTTGTCAAATTCTTTCTTTAGTTTCACACCCATATATGAAAAATCACAAGTGCCAAATGAATAAAGCTTTACTTATCCTCTTGTTGCATTTCCAATTCACTCTCTAGAATAAGTACATGCTTAAAATTTAAAACCTTATCTTTTTTTCTTTACTCTTGTAAGAAAGTTCTACATGCATTTTTAAATTAAGATTTTAATAATTGAGCGAAAAAATAAAAGGTTTACTGTATGACTTCAGACTACATTTTCCACACGGAATGCAAAATAGTACCATAGGAAGATCTGCTCCTCTTTATTCCTCTTTCTCTTCCAGTCTTGCTGTCATCCAATAATGACTTATTAATAGCCATGACTCAAGGTGAATTTATCATAAAGCTCATGTAGCTTAAGCTTCAGGGCTCCTAATTTACACTGAGCCCTTCCAAGGTCCTCAGAAGAGCCCTACCAATGTGTTCACATGACCTTATGTTTTTGTCAAGTCTTCTAAAGTAAGATAGTGTAACTCTAACTTAAAATATACCATTTTTTTTTCATGACAAAGTCTTCTGTCACAGTTTTCCTCGTGTTGTATAATCTTGAAGTGGCCACAACTGTGGGGACCTACTTAAGGGCAGTTCAGCTGGAAATACATTTTAGTTTGGATTCATGGGTTATATTTATGAGATTCACAGTCACTTGTGAATATAATTAGCTATTTCTAGCTATCCTCATATAGGAATGAATTTCAGGAATATTACCATCCATTGTACTCACTCACCTGGTATTATGATGAGGAATTACAAATAGAAAAGTCATGTCAAAACATGAATGTGTCACCAGAAGTGTGTGGGTTTATTTAAGATTAATCACTGCACAAGAACACGTTAGCCTTGAAATTTTACTATAACATATTTAAAAGAAATATTAGAGGCTTTCCAAAATTTGTTACAATCTAAGTTTGGCTTGTCCCAAAGCAGAACCTGAGGCAAGAACTTGAGTATAGTTTATATGGAATGTGATTCACAGACACAGGACTGAAGCAGCAGGGGAAAAGGGAAGAAGGAAAAGCACATATGGGTATGCCATTGAGGATTCTTCTATGGGGAATGCAGGCTTGGGTCCACCAGTACTTTGAAAAGTGTAGGACATGCTTCTCAAAATCAGTCTAAATAATAGAAGGCTGGGACATTTACTGATTATTTCTGTCCCCAGGAGCTGTTAATTTCCCTCCACTCCAGCTAAGCTCCACTGAGTTGAACAGCACCATGGGAGATGGCCCTAAAGGAGAAAAGTAGAGAAACATCTTTGAGGTGGGACACTGGAAGCTGACTCAGTTGTTTATCAAAGTTAGGACTGAAATTAGAAGTGAGCCTAAGAGATGCAACATGGAAAATTTAAAGCATCTAATGGGTAAATATTTTTATTTCCATTTTTCTGATGAAAAATTCGAAGTTCAGTGAGGCTAGGTCAGTTGCCTGAGATTGCATGGAACATAGGTAGTAGAGATAAGGTCTGAATGTGCATTTGTCTGATGCCAAAGATCATTCACTTTCCACCACATCACATGCTTCCTTAGGGAGATCTTCTAAGTCAATGAGTCATCTACACTTGACCCTGTTCAGTAAGATGAAATTGCTGACTTGGGCTGATGGGAGCAGATGAAGCTAACAGGATGGTCAAGTACTTTGCTATTCTTTTTTTTAGTATCTGCCGTTGGGAGATCAATTGTTCCTGGCACTTAGAAAAGGAGATGGTAGAAAAGGAGATTGAGCTTTGTGAACAAATCACTAATTCACATGGACCTATTGAACACCCTGTTTTAGAAGGTGTAATACAACAAGAAAAATAATTGTGTTGTAAACCCAAATAAAATGTAGTTACCAATATCATGTCAGATAACTTAAAGGTAGGAGGAATGGTAATGCTGAATAATAGATGACTTAGAACAGTTTATATATTTGGCTTCAGCTGTAGGCAAAGGGAGAATACAATAAATATTTACTAATTCCTTACTCCATGCCAGGCACTGTGGCACTGACCATGAAATGAGGCTATTACATAGATGAGGGAAGTCCATTGCCTAATGACCTGCCAGGAGGCTAATGGCTATGTTAGATAATTCTAAAGTTTACCAACACTTCATCTGTCTCTCCTGTGATTTCAGAACAAGGAGGACTCCACTTTACCAGTCATGTGACTGATCTTGGCAATAAAATGTGGGCTGCAATGATGAATGCCACTTCTGAACTGAAGTGCTTAATTGCTGATGCTCACTTTTCCAGCCTTCTTTGCCCGTGCTATGTAGATTGTAGAAGCATGTGTTTCTGCGGAGGAGCCATAAGAGCACATTAGTCTGGAATGTTTAGTTACCAGATGGAGTGCAGCTTCCCTGCAGCCACGGTGGACTTTGCATGTATGAAAAATAAACTTTTGTTTTGTCAAGCCAGTGAGACTTTGGGGTTGCCTGATACCATAGCATATTATAGACTAAACTGACCGAGTGGCAGAATGCAAAAAACCCTAGGCCAAAGTGACTTCAAAGATCATCTGTTCTCCTTTTAGGTTTAAAATGTTGTTTCTTGCTTATGAATTTTTTTGTTTATCATATTTTTGGTATAAAAGTAATTTGTGAACTGTTTGAACACTGAAAAATATAGAATATACTCAAATGAAAATCATCTTATAGTCTAAACACAGTTAAAATTTTGTTGTATTTCATCTCATTTTCTATATATGTATATGTGTATGTTTTGAAATTATAGATATGTTACAGCAACTAAAATTTTGTATCCTACTTTGTATATGAAATATCATTGCTAAGTTTTGTTATATTAGACATTCTTGTTGACCTATTTTTTAAGCAACTTGGTGAAAGTGTGCAAATAATTTTTTGCCTTTATCTCATCTGCTAGCTCTTTTTCTTATGTAGTACACAGTCCTTATTACTTCTTTTCATACAGAGAGAATAGGCATTTTATCTGTTCCCTGATCCAGCAGCCCAGTCCCCTATGATGGCAAATGTTGCCTAAATTCTATCTCACACATCAATAGTTAAGTTGCTTACAGTGAATCAATCAAATATTCCATCAAAATAACAGTTGAGTGTTTGAGCTGACCAACTGTTTGCCTCACTGACAGTCCTATAAAATCAGAATCTTGTATTTTTTTACCCTAAAATTGATCTTACATCTTACATCTTTATCTTTGTCCTATACTTTCTTTGTTTCTATTTTTCTTGCATACCAGGGATCTCTGAAAAAATTATAGCAGTAAAACTCATGTTAATAGTGATCCAGTTGGATGAGAAATGATTGGAAGTCAAAACACCTAGAACTATGAACTTCCCAACCATAGAACTGAGAAATGTTACAGAAAAATGTTATAAATTTCAAATAGAAAAAATATTGCAACTTTATTTCATTTGATGAAAAAACCCAGGAGAAAATGAAAATTTTTAAGACATTTAAAAAGTGTATTGTCATAGCCTCGATATTAGAATTCATAAATGACAACTCTAATTATTGAGACACTTTCATAAGTCATACCCCACACACTATCAATATGGTACAGCATTTTCCTTTGTTTTGCTTTTCTCATTATCTGTCCCTGACATAGATATCATTTTTCAGCTTTTTCTAGTGACGCTGCTTAGTTACTTTTTGCAGAAATCATAACTGGTGAAATCATCTGAAGCTTAGCTAAGTATAATAGTCCACTAGTATCCCACTATCAAAAAATAACTCCTATTCTACACTTGGAGAAAACGTGCATGCATTTGTGGGCTTCTGAAAGCTATAGCAGAAACTCTGCAGGCAGAAATTCTTTGTATACGTAACGACACATCAATAGGCAGCTACACTGCAAGTCCTCCCACATATCCAGCTTAATAGAGACGCGATGAAGAGGCTCACTCCAAGTGTCTAATCCTGTCATGTATTTTATATAGAGCCCATGGTGGTCAAGTGCTGCAGGAAAGTTAAATATTCTCTTAGATGGGCACGAAGATTTTGCGAGGATAGGAAGTATCTACAACAATTCAGCAGAATTTTCTGGGATAATAAAGATGCCAAATAGCAGCAGCAGCTACCATTTATTTAGGGACTAACACGTGATAGACACTTGTACCAGGCATTTTAGAGGTTGTTAAATCTAACAAGTATATGAAATAGGCATGTCCAGTTTATAAATGAGGAACTAAAATAGAGAGGTTAAGTAACTCGTACAATGCACACAATTAAAATGTGAAGGAGACAATATTCAGATCTTTCTGACTTTAAAGCCTGTTCTCTTAGCCATTGTGTTATATTGTCTCTATGTCTGAGTTAACCTCACAGATCACCTTGTCTCTTACTAGCTGTGTGACACTGAGCATGGATGTTAACACGCCTTCATTTTCTCCTCTGAATAATTAATGCCCTGCCTTCATGGGGGTGGAGGGTTATTGTGAATATCAGAAGGAGTTAACAAATGTCAAAGTGCTCTGTCAACTGAAATGCCATATGAATGGGAACTATGTTATAGTCACCATTACTGGTAATACCAATTGTTTTCATAATTGGAACTATCCTGCAGTTCCTTTCATGTAAAGAATGATTCTAGGGCCTGGGATTCAAAGTGTGGTCCACAGAGCTGCAGTTTTAGCATCTCCTGGGAATTTGTCAGAAATGTGGAATCTCAGGCCCTACCCTACACCTAGTGAGTTAGAACCTGCAGTTTTACAACATCTCCAGATGATTCTTAAGCACATTATGTTTGAGAAGTCCTTGTAAAGGGCTGAAAAGAAATCTAGATTAAGGATAATGATCTGTTTAGAAGTTTTAGAGATTTTAGGCCTTAATGCAGGTAGCAGATGGGGATCCTTATGAATTGTTCCTTCAAGAATCTCAAGATTGCTGGGATGTCTCTAGATGTGGTTAACAGATCTTATGAAATCACACAACAAATATAAGAAACAATTGGACTAGAACTTGAGTTTCTAACATATTCAAGTTTTTTTTCCAATGATGTAGTAAAATGTACTACGAAATATTTTTAGGAGATGATATTTTAGAGAATAAAATGTCTAAAGGTATTACTAAATTTCCTTTTTCAGATTTGATTACTTAAAAAGTGAAAATTTTTATATCATAAATTACCTCATAAACAAGAGCCACAGACACACAACATATATGTACCAAAATATATAGCAAGGTATATGTGTAAGCGTTAAACATATAAAAAAATCCTTAACCTTGGCTGGGCCCAGTAGCTCATGCCTATAACATCAGCACTTTGGGAGGCCAAGGAAGGAGAATTGCTTGAAGCCAGGAGTTTGAGACCCTCTCGATGTCAAGAAAATGGAAGTTGAAAGCTAAAAGAATACCATTTTTAAATCTATCAGATTGGCACAGCTTAGAAAGGCTTGATTACTTCAAATATTAACAATTTTATGAGGAACTTGTCATCTTCATACTTTTTATAGGAATACCAATTGGCGCAATATATCTGGAAGTTTCTTTGGATCTATGCACACTTAAAATGATTATATCTCATAACTAAGTAATTACATTTTAGGCAAATGTTCTTATATGACATATGTATATTTTTGTTTAAGTATACAAATATTTTTGTGTAATCATATTCAAACTTTTCAATAAGAAATAGACAATACAAAGGTCTATAAGTAGGAGGATGGATACATACATTATGGTGTAATGATATATTAAAATACTCTGCTGCATTTAAAAATAATGAGATAGTTTAAAGAATGTTTGTTAAAGTTATCCATGATATATACTTCAGTGAAAATAAATTACAGTGGAAATATATATGTTTTCACACGTGTGTGTGTGTATATTTATATATATATATATATATATATATATATATATATATATATATATAATTTTTTTTTTCTTTTGAGATGGAGTCTCGCTCTGTCACCAGGCTGGAGTGCAATGGTGCCATCTTGGCTCACTGCAACCTGTGAGTCCCAGGTTCAAGAGATTCTTGTGCCTCAGCCTCCCTAGTAGCTGGGACTACAGGCTTGCGCCACCAATGACAAGTTAATTTTTGTATTTTTAGTAGAGACGGGGTTTCACCATGTTGGCGAGGATGGTCTCGATCTCCTGACCTTGTGATCCACCCGCCTCAGCCTTCCAAAGTGTTGGGATTACAGGCATGAGCCACCGCGCCCTGCCAACACATGTATATTTAAATAAGTATATATATCATCACTTTAAAATATTGATATGACTATATACTTGTATTTCAAACAATCTTGAAAATACAAAAGCAAAACTGTAGAAGCAGTAATATTTGGAGGTGACTCTGGAGAAGAATGAGGACTCAGTTTTACCATCATATATATTGTCTTATTTGAATTTATTATAGCAAGCAAATAGAAGATTTGTAATTTAAAATATAGATTAAAATGGCACTTTTTCCTAGATTTTCATTATTTTTCTTAAGAAGAGCATCATTTTCTGATGTTTTTGAGCCTCTGCTTTTTTCTTTGAGCACTGCCTTTCCTAGAGCTGAATGATTAACTCTCCTCCTTAGGGATATTTGTTGTGCAGTTCACAAGTTCAATGCATTCAGGTTTTTAAACATGTGCTTTATTTCAATTTTAAAATTATTTTTATCTTGTTTACTCGAAATCCAAGAAAACTTTTTGAATAAAAAAATAAAAAGTCTGCTCATTAAAATACATATGCAACTTTAGAGCATGGGAAATAAAAGGACTGGAAAGAAGACAGGAATTAGTGCTGGACAAGTTGTAAAAATAATGGTTTCCAAATATAATGTTTAGATTATGAGGAAGAAAAAAAGTGATAACAAATTTGAAAGTTCATTGTCTTTATCACTCTGGGTATTTTCTCTTGATGAATAGCAAAGAGAGACTCAAGCTATGAATAGGTCACATAGAAGAAATATTAGAGATTATTTTAAAATGTGGTTGCATCTGTCTTGTGTTCAGTTTTGTGATTAGATTTTAGTGCTCTCAGGCATCAACTATACCTTGCTGCTTCTATAATTTTCTATCCTGATCCCTCAATTTTTAGTAGTTTAGGGGCTTCACAGTCAATTACAAGGGATGTCTCTGGATTTGAAGCTTTTAACCTAGCTTTTAGAAGCAGGGTCAGGGATATTATTTTGTTCCATTGCAATCAAATGACATTTTCAGTTATAGCCATATTCTAAGATTGTCATTTCTTGCTAAGACTTTGGAAAAGGCTATGATTTTGCATCTAGAGAGTCACCTTTCTGAGTTATCTGAAAAGGAAAACCAATGAGATTTTCACAATATCTTTGACTAAAAAGTTTCAAATCATTTTTACAGCATTCATTAAGGTTTACAAGGCTATATATGTAAGTAGAGAGAAAATTTATCTAAAATAGAGAATAAAAGTAGCTTAGCAGGACAAAGGTAACAATAAAACCCTATGGAGATGAGGCAAAAACAGTGGTTTAAAAATTGTATGCTGTGTAGGAAGAAACACATTACGTAAACTAAAATGTGGTTGCAAAGCCTTATCTCACATCTCAGTGTGCTTAAGATGTCATGTGATTTATAATATACTCTAAGTGTATAACGCCTAATAATAACTGTGCTATGCCAGGTACCAATCTAACAACTTTACATCCATTAACAGTTATCATTATATACTCCCAACCATCCTATTTGGGATTTGGGGGTTGGAGTTATTATCTCATTTTAAGATAAGGATACCTAGCCACTGAGATGTTAAATTTTTTGTGCATAGTCGCACATAAACAGGAAAAAAATGAGGATTTGAACCTAGAGATGTTGACACTTGTGTTTATAAATGTAATCATATTTTGTAGATCACAATGAACAATGACTGAGGCAATTAGAATTAGTCTTTGAAACACAAAGAAAGCAGAACTATATGTATTTAAGGAATATGGAAGGCCCCTAGCCCAATTAACATCTCACCACTGGTTTTCTTATTAACTAAAGAGTCACTCTGTTTTCATTGGAATACACTATTTTTATAACTATAAAATGTAGAATTTAAACAGGTAATGAACAGAAGAGGAAAACTAAATAGATAATTCATAAACGAATATGTTTTCAACTTCATAAGTTATTAGGGAAAGCAAGACAGATTAAAACAACTATGAAGTACCTTTTTACATTCTTTAATTAAAAATAAAATCAGACAATATCAAGAGCTGGTGATGATGTGGAGACACAAGAACTGTCATACTTTACAGGAGGGAGTCCAAGCTACTATGAAGAGCAATTTGGAATTATCTAATATAGTCAAAGATGTGGATACCCTTTGATACAGCAATTTTACTTGTAGTTATACATGTTAGAAAAATCTTTACACATGTGCACAAAGACACCTTTACAAAACTTTTTATTTTTGTAGCGTTGCCTGTAAGGGGAAAATACAAACAATTGGAGAGCATATAGATAAAACGAATGAACAAGAGCTGCAAGACTCAAAAAATGAATACATTTAAAAAATAGTGGATCTAAGAAAAGCAGATTATCCAAAGATACAGTATGATAGGATTATTATAATACTTGAAAATTCCAAAATAATACTTACTGTTTTTAGATATTTATTTGTTGAAATAGTATAATAACTTATAAAGTAATAATAAACACCAAAGTTTATGCATAGTGATGGGTACCTCCAGGAAAGAGGATTTGAAAATTGCCAGGCTGGGAGCGGTGGCTCACGCCTGTAATCCCAGCACTTTGGGATGCCAAGGCAGGCAGATCACAAGAGGTCAGGAGTTCAAGACCAGCCTGACCAACATGGAAAAACCCTGTCTCTACTAAAAATACAAAATTAGCTGGGCGTGGTGGTACATGCCTGTAGTCCCAGCTACTTGGGAGGCTGAGCCAGGAGAATTGCCTGAACCCAGGAGGCAGAGGTTGCGGTGAGCCGAGATCACACCATTGTACTCCAGTCTGGGCAATAAGTGGGAAACTCCGTCTCAAAAAAAAAAAAAAAAAAAAAAAATGCCTCACAGGGAGTTTCAACTTTGTCTTTTATGTTTTATTTTATATACATTTTAAAGTAAATATAGCAAAATTTAGAAATTTGATAAAATGGCAGGGTAGCTACTTGACATTCATTATCTCCTATGCTTTGTTTATGTGAATAAAATATTTTACAATAAACATAATATGTGCTCTTTATCAGAAAATAGAAAATGCAAAAAAGAATACCTCATTTACTCCATTACTTAAAGACAACAATTTTAAAATTTTAAAAATTGTTGTCTTTAAGTAAATATTTTCTTGCAGTCATACTATTTTACAACTATTTGTATACCATATACACAATTGTGTGTTCCAAGTAGAGATATGTCATGAGGTGTGTGTTTTTTTCTTTCCAGTCTCTATTAAAATAATACTCTACCCATGAAAACACATGGAAATATTATTGGCTATTATAACTCCAGGTGAATTATTTTGAGTGATAGTTTTCCAATCACAGCCACCTATTTTGAGGTCCTGAGGGATTGTAAAACTAGCAAGCATATTTCCATAGTAGGAAATGGGCTAAAGTTTGGTGTGCTTTCTAAAGGGCTCCAGAGTCCAAGGGGCAGGTCAGTAAGGCCTTTGGGTAGTCGAGGAGAATGGGCATCTGCATGCATTACTGAGAGAGGCGGTCTGTGAAGGATAAACTTAACCTGCTTTACAATTTTGCCTTGGGCTAGCCCTGGAGAGAATGATGAATAATCACACAGGATTTAATGTTGTACTGTATCTAATATGCAGTTTGAAGGAATAGTTTATTTTTGGAAACACTGACTGAGACATAATTTATCATCAGCATCTAAAAGGGTGTGATCATTTCCAACCATTTCCAACCAGCACAGCATAGCAGCACATAATTTTTTTTTTTTTTTGGTAAAATATGCCTGGTGTGACTGATTAAAGAGTGAACAGTCCTCTGCAGCCATGGATGCATTTGTGATTTGTGAAATAGGTGCCTGATTTTCAGCACCAGGCTCTGTGGACCCAGCTCTGTTTTCAAGCAAAGTTAAGAGGCACATGCATTGGGGTAACTTTTAAGGGGTCAATAGAAAGGCTGAGCTTCACAACGTTGGTCTGACAATATGTAATTAGAGATTTCTTTTATGACATACTAATATAACCCTAGGAAGGATACCGTGTAAACTTTACCAGTTGCCTCATTGCTATGCAGAAAAAGGAAGGGTTGAAATGTCAGGTTCTGGTTTGGGGTAAGGCGAACGATGTTGTGTAACATCTGATCGTTTATTTAAAATGTGTATATTTTATTCATCACAGATTGTTGGATTTTGATTTTTAAAATATTGCATTGTATTACAATATTATTTATCTTGATTACTGAGGTTCCTTGTGTCTCCTTATATTTTGTGTGAGTGCCTTACTTGCCACACTGTAGTCCCCTAACGATAAAATGACAGCAGAAAACATGTGGAACTCCGCACAAAACCCTTCAGCTACCTCTGGAGGTGATGACATGGGCTCAAACATATCATTTATATATATATATGTGTGTGTGTGTGTGTATGTGTGTATGTTTATGTGTGTGTGTGTGTGTGTTTGTGTGTGTGTATGTGTGTATTATATATATATATTATATATATATGATATGGTTTGACTCTGTGTCCCCACCCAAATATCATCTTGAATTATACTCCCATAATTTCCACATGTTGCGGGAGGGACCTGGTGGGAGACAATTTGAATCATGGGGGTGGTTTCCCCCATACAGTTCTCATGGTAGTGAATAAGTCTCACAAGATTTGATGGTTTTATCAGAGGTTTCTGCTTTTGCATCTTCCTCATTTTATCTTGCCACCACCACGTAAGAAGTGCCTTTCACCTCCCACTGTGATTCTGAGGCCTCCCCAGTCATGTGGAACTGTAAGTCCAATTAAACCTCTTTTTTTCCCCCAGTCTTGAGTATGTCTTTATCAGCAATGTGAAAAGGAACTAATACAGTAAATTGGTACTAGAAGTGGGAGTGTTGCTGAAAAGATACCTGAAAATGTGGAAATGACTTCGGAACTAGGTAAGAGGCAGAGGTTGCAACAGTTTGGATGGCTCAGAAGAAGATAGGAAAATGTGGAAAGTTTGGAACTTCCTAGATATTTGAATGGCTTTGACCAAAAGTCTGATAGTGATATGGACAAAAAGGTCCAGGCTGAGGTGGTCTTAGATGGAGATGAGGAACTTGTTGGGAACTGGAGCAAAAGTGACTCTTGTTATGTTTTAGCAAAGAGACTGGCAGCATTTTGCCCCTACCCTAGAGATTTGTGGAACTTTGAACTTGAGAGAGATGATTCAGAGTATCTGGTGGCAGAAATTTCTAAGCAGCAAAGCATTCAAGAGGTGAGTTGGGTGTTGTTAAAGGCATTCAGTTTTTTTTTTAATTTTTAATTTTTAATTAATTTATTTTTTTATTATTATACTTTAAGTTTTAGGGTACATGTGCACAATGTGCAGGTTAGTTACATATGTATACATGTGCTATGCTGGTGCGCTGCACCCACTAACTCGTCATCTAGCATTAGGTATATCTCCCAATGCTATACCTCCCCCCTCCCCCCACCCCACAGCAGTCCCCAGAGTGTGATGTTCCCCTTCTGTGTCCATGTGTTCTCATTGTTCAATTCCCACCTATGAGTGAGAATATGCGGTGTTTGGTTTTTTGTTCTTGCGATAGTTTACTGAGAATGATGATTTCCAATTTCATCCATGTCCCTACAAAGGACATGAACTCATCATTTCTTATGGCTGCATAGTATTCCATGGTGTATATGTTCCACATTTTCTTAATCCAGTCTATCATTGTTGGACATTTGGGTTGCATTCAGTTTTATAAGGGATGTAGAGCATAAAAGTTCAGAAAATTATTGGCCTGACAGTGTGATAGAAAAGAAAAACCCATTTTCTGAGGAGAAATTGAAGCCAGCTGCAGGAATTTGCATAAGTGACAAGGAGCCAAATATTAATCCCCAAGACAATGGGGAAAATGTCTCCAGGGCATGCCAGAAGTCTTCACTACAGCCCCTCCATTACAGGCCCGGAGGCCAAGGAGAAACTGGTTTCGTGGGCCAGGTCCAGAGTCCCCATGCTGTGGGCATCCTAGGGACTTGGTGCCCTGCATCCCAATTGCTCCAGCTGTGGCTGAAAGGGGCTAACATAGAGCTTGGGCCATGGCTTCAGAGGGTGGAAGCCCCAAGGCTTGGAGAGGTGTTGAGCCTGCGAATGCACAGAAATCAAGAATTTGGGTTTGGGAACCTTCGCCTAGATTTCAGATGTATGGAAATGCCTGGATGCCCAGGCAGAAGTTTGCTGCAGGAGTGCGGCACTAATGGAGGACCTCTGTTAGGGCAGTGCAGAAGGGAAATGTGGGGTCGGAGCCCCCACACAGAGTCCCTACTGGGGCACCACCTTATGGACCTGTGAGAAGAGGGCCACTGTCCTCCAGACCCCAGAATAGTAGATCCAGCTACAGCTTGCACCGTTTGGCTGGAAAAGCCGCAGACACTCAATGACAACCTGTGAAAGCAGCTGGGAGGGAGGCTGTACCCTGGAAAGCCACAGGGGTGGAGCTGCCCAAGACCATGGGAACCCACCCCTTGCATCAGTGTGACCTGGATGTGAGACCTGAAATCAAAGGAGATCATTTGGGGCTTATTTCTGCACAGTACCTATCAGCTTTTAATGTATTAACTTATATTTTCTGTCTCTTTTCCACTAGGATGTACACTCCATGATGTAGGTATTTTTGTCTCTTATTCACTGAATTATTTCAAAATTGATTAGTTGTAGGCATAAGTGCTCAACAAACTTTTGCTGAATTAATGAATACGTTGATAATGGAATGTAACTTCTGTTTTTTTCATGTAAAAGTGATATTTTTGATTAAGCAAACTAATATTTGATGCTGAGAAAAAAAACCTACAAAGAAAACTAAATTGTTCAAAAACATAGTTGTTCAGGTAGCTAACTAAATACCTGCAGTGGTGAGTTGGAAGACTCTCAGTGATATGCATTGAATTAATTAGATAATCTGTCTCTCTTTTCCCTTCTCACTCTCTCCCACTCTTTGCATAAAATCAACATTTACAAGAGAATCCCTCTTTCTGAGCACTTTTCTGTCACTAACTCAGTCTCACTCTTCATTACCTTTTTTACCTGAACAATCGTTGGGTCACCAATTATAATATCTGTCTATTGATTAACTCACATCTTTGCCCCTTTTTCTTTTGGCTCATTTGTTTAAGTTACCTATCAAACTGCAATAATTATACTTTTTTTGAGGATATTAATACTCGCTAACCACAAACAAAAATCATTCTGACTTCTGCTATGTTTTGCACTATAGTACTTGAAGAAGAGATGGCATGGGCTCAGGGTTAATTCATTCATTAATTGAGTCATTCCATTTATTCAACAAACATTTAGTGAACACCTATGTGCAAGAATAGTGTTGGGTGTTGTGGACAAATTAATGAGCAAAAATTGGTCTTCTGTGTGTTCTTGTGTAGATGGATTTAAAATTATCACTATAGTGAAAATGCAGTAGTATATACAGTTGTTCATTGGCATCTATGGGAGATTAGCTCCCAAATCCCCACAAATCCCCAAATCCCTGGATGTTCAAGTCCCTGATATAAAATGGCACACTATTTGCATACAACCTATGTACGTCCTCCCATATACATTAAATAATCTCCAGATTATAATACCTAATACAATGTAAATGCTAGGTTAATCGTTATTATAATGTATTGTGTAGAGAAAAATGACAAGAACAAAGTCTATACAGGTCAGGCGCGGTGGCTCACGCCTGTAATCCCAGCACTTTGGGAGGCCGAGGCAGGTGAATCACGAGGTCAGGAGATTGAGACCATCCTGGCTAACATGGTGAAACCCCGTCTCTACTAAAAATATAAAAAATTAGCCAGGTGTGGTGGCAGGCACCTGTAGTCCCAGCTACTCAGGAGGCTGAAGCAGGACAATGGCGTGAACCCGGGAGGCGGAGCTTGTAGAGAGCCGAGATCGCACCACTGCACTCCAGCCTGGGCGACAGAGCGAGACTCTGTCTTAAAAAAAAAAAAAAAAAAAAAAAAAAAAGTTTATACATATTCAGCACAGAAGAAACCACCCAGTTTTCTCCTGAATATTTTCAATTCTTGTTGATGTGAAACCCACAGATATGGAAGCTGATTGCATTTTAACTATCAACCAACTATCAACTATCCTACATATTTTTTTTCCGTTTAAGAAATTTTCTTTTATTCTGTGGCTCTTCTTTCCGTATTGTGGGATGTCTACAACCCCATGAATGTTCGTTATAGCAGGAAATAAGAGCTCCTTAGAGATAACACCTGGTTAAAGGTTTGAAGTTCTAAAAGCCAGCCTTAATGCTATGCTTGTTACAGGTTTCCTTTGTTCGGAATAATAACTTTTTTTGGTATTAAGTAATTCTGACCAAAAAAAGTATATAAAGTAGATTTGATTATTATTCCTTTTACAAATAATAAAACTGAGGTACAAACAGGTAGCTCACTTTCTAAAGGCCCCAGAGTTGTGAAATGGTAAAACCGAGTTGCCACCCCAATGATCTAAACACCTCTTGTCTGGCTTTTGCAGGTGAAAAATGACTTCCAATCATTGTCCACTCAATAATTATAATCTCTGGTAAAAGGCCATTTAAAAATAGATTTATGGCCTTATTTTCTAATCACTTTTGGGATATGGGAACAATCATTTTAAATTGAACAGTACCTAAAATTCATAAGCACATTTATTAGATTACAGTAGCACATATGGTATTATTTTCCTGAAAATTGAACCACTGGTTTGAATTGCACGAAATGTCCAAGTTAGGTTATTCATTCTCATGTACTGAGTGTATCATTTTTTTCTTAAGAAATTATATCGATTCCTATTGAACACCAGATTGGTTTTAATATTTAACAAGTTAAAGCATTCCTGGGAACATGGAAGCAAAAATTCACTTGTATTTAGTCTTTGTGCATAAATCTAGCCTCTTCTGTAGTAGGATAATTGTTTATTCAAGATATAGCTAAAACCAACCTTAAAAAGACAGCTATTATACTAGCTGCTTGAATTTGGGGCCCTCTGCTGAATTCATTGAAGTAGTTTAAATCTAAACTTAATTTTTATCTTTTCAATGCAGACATTTCCTGCTTTAATGCATCTTTGTCTTTTTGGCCATGGGACGTTGAAGAATGAATGACAGGATATGTGCAGCTATTTGATAGAATACATTTTTAAAAGGAGGTGTGTGCACCTGCCAAATACACAGCCTATGTACTGGTTGATGAAAGAATTCTCAGCAATGCATCTTCTCTTGGGGTCCACTCCCAGATTTCAGTAATAGACTTCTTTGGGAACTACATAAACATACTTGTGTGAATGATGCCAGGACTGCTGTTCCATTGCCAAGAAGGGCACATACTAGTTTACAGTCTAGGTATCCTGGGGGCTAAAAGCCTCACAGGCCTCAGAGAATATCATTATAAATGATTTTATTCATTTCATTAAAAAATCTGTATAAGAGAGACTCATTACTAAATGTACAGTTACCTTAATGAATTGGCACAAAACATGTTACTTGAATTACCAATTTTATATCAATATTTTCCCCATCCCTTATAGAAAAACTGCTGAAAATACGGAACAAGCATTTAAAAAAGTTCTTAATAGAAGATACAAATAAATAACATGTTTCTATAGTGTACACTTTGTACTGCTGGGTGAGGTGACAGACCATCTGTGAAGATACATAAATAATAGCTATCTAAGGATCTGACTGACCACATCTAATCAAGAAACATTGTTGATAACTGAGAACCAGCAGTTAGGGCATGCCAGACCCAAGGGGAAGCAAATGTTTTTCTCCCATCAGTAGGAAGCTGCTGTCATGAGGTAATAAACAAATTAAGATCTCCCACAACAAAATACAAGTGGTATATCTTGGGGATAATGTCTTAGTAATTGCATTAATGGAAGGTCATTTTCAACACATGATTATTTCTTGTGGGAAGTAATCTTTTTGAAGAAGTACCTGAAGTATGTTTTATGTTAACTTTGAAAGAAGATAAAAGGCACTCATGATTTTTTTTATGCCAGCAAACACTGGGGATAATGAGTCACCGAAAGTGAATATTTTTCATGCTATCTTGTTAAATAGAAAATGAACAATTATTTAAAGAATGTTTCATTAGAAAATGATTTTAAAGTGGAATTATATAAAGACCTATGCAGGACCTGTTTCTACAAACCAATAAGAAGGGACTCAGATGATCTCTGTATATAGGTGGAGAGCTGGTAGTTGTAAGATATTGATATTATTCAAGGATTTCTCCATTTACTGTAATTTCTAGATCGATTTTCAGGAAGAGTTTGCAGTTTGTTTATGTGAATATTATATTTATCTCTTTTATATTTTTTCTGTTCAAGTTTTTCTTGTTTGTTAAACCCAATATATTTTGGTTTGTGGGAATTTCCAGAAGATGTTGATAGGATAGGGATAGGTTTAGGGGAGAGATTCCCTTAAAACCTATACCCTCTTGCTCTACCTACATGCAGATTCCAGCCCTCTAGGGAAGAGAAAGAAAGTGTGCTTTTCTCAGCATAAGTCCCTTCCACCCACGTAAAAGGGTACATGAGAAACTAGTCAGGAGAGAACATTATTTGAGATCCCTCTGAAGATTCATATGCACATCCCCTTTCAGTCAGAACACAAAAATCTCTCATTTGCAAAATGACATTTATAAAATATTTCTGTGGTTATTTGATTAATTTCTGTCATCTTCACTGGACCATATGCTCTAAGAACAAAAAGGCAATATCTTTTCTTGTCCACTACATTTCCATGTATCCAGCTCAGCCAGGGAGGAATGACTGATTTTGTAACTCAGGAAACCCCAGGAGTTTTCAGCCCTCTGTTTCTCCATCAAGGCTCACCTGGAATTCCTAAGATTGCTTGAGTATGGTGCCCTTTGTCCCTTAGACAGAAGGAATCTGGGATAATATCTGGCATTATCCCTCTGCTAAAATCATATAGGGAAAGCTAAGTCCTCTGTTGGTGAAAGCGCAATGGTTTAGGATTAGGAATTAGAACCCAAATCCTTCTCAACCCAATCAGAGGAAGGAAAGCAGCAGAGGCTTCAAAATCTATGTCACCTTTTATTCTCTCTGGTCCCCTTGTTTCTCCCAGTTAATCCAAGGAAGTTGTGGCAAGGCTGTACCTGAATAATAATAGCATATTAATCTATACAAACATTTTAACATTTGTGATTGATTTTTATATATCACAATAAAGATTATGCTACTAAATTAATAATATGAATTGTTTGTATTATTCATTTTAGCTTCGACCTTATGGTACCTCCAAACTTCATAGTTTACTGTTCAGAAATAGTATGAATTCATGTATTAATTCATTTAGAAAATGTTTAGTGAGTGCTGTTCTGTGCCAGGCACTGTGCTTGCTCATGGAAATAGATACTAAGGGAAAAAGACATACTGTCTCTGTCTTCAAGGAGCTTACAGTTAAGGAGATCTACTGTAACACAAGAAATATTGTTTTGTGTCTCACACCTGGGGGATTATTTAATAGTTGGAAAGAAATTTAGATGGGGAGAAACAATTGTTTTAACAGGTAAAAAAGCCTATTAGCCTATAAATAGTTTTCTAGCAGAGAGAAAAAACCTTGCAAGTCTAAAAACAAAAAAAATTAAGAGCAATACATATAATACTACATAATATTATTTTTTCTTCTAATCTTCCAAAGTTACAAAAATTATTAGCTCTTATTTCAATCATTTCGTTTAGGTTGACTTTTTATGCCTTCTTAAAAAGTTCTTTCATCTATTTTCTTTTAATTCCAAAAGTGTTCAGAAAGAAAATCCAAGCTAAAATGAAAGATGAATACTCTTTGCAATATTCTGACATTTTGTCACACCCAAAAGAAACAAATCTAATCTACACATTCTTTATTTAATTATTTATTGCCTTGGTCAATATGTAACTATCTAATTGCATACATTTTTATATTTCAGTACAGTTTGTGCTTTGAATTTTACTAAGAGGTTTTGAGAAAAAAATAACCGTTTAGCTATTATGTGAAGAATGTCATGCATAAATGGGAGTAAATATTACTTAACAATTGTATAACAAAATAATATTTTGCACATGGTACTTAAGGCAAATCTTTCTGTAAGGCAAAAGGATTTTTTTAAAAAAATTTAATCTGGCACTTTAGAAAAATATGTGAGATTTGAAAAATTTCAAGTGATATATGCATTTCTACTTTGGAATCCATTTTAACTTTCAAGACAAAGCAAACAGCTGTTAGAGTCTGAGAAGCTAGGGGAGAGAAGCAGACATGAAAGACTATTCCAGAAGGAATCCTGAACTAGTTTATAAGATGCTAGTCACATCAGAAAAAGACCAATTGTTTTTTCTACAAATGTCAAAGGAAGATTTTAAAGTGTGGGGTTGATTTTGTTTTCCAGTTTGGAAAAATGTGTTACTCCTAGGTGTTGACTCTCAGACAATGTTTCTGAAGCATCAGAAAATGTGTAAAGTAAACTCCTAAATGGTGATCTTGAGGTATCTGCAGGCAAACTCTCAAATGTAGTGATTGAAATGAAGTCTTTCTCATCAGCCTGGAAAATAACCACTGTTTTCTCCACTTTACTTCTTAATTGCTAAAGGGCAATATCTTAACTCTAATTTATCCCAGCACAGAGTTTGTTTTTTAGTTGCTTTAAAACGGAGACTATATTGATAAAATATTTTTATAGCTTTGCTACAGCTTAAAATACTTTTCTTACCATGAGTATTGCCTTGGAAAAAATTATTACAAAAGTTGTTGGATTTAGATCTTGACCCCTAACATCCCTCTAAAAATTGTAATATTTGTTGAAAAAGAACACTTTATTGTGTAATTGAGGAACTACTAAAGCACACCTGAGTTTTATATGCTTAAATCGTACTGGTAATTCTATAGTTCCTCATGTTATTTGTTTAGCAATATCTCCTTTGCACTATACTAAAAGCTAGTTAAATAGCCACCATGTTGATATTGTTCACCAGTGACACCTTTGTTTTGAGTTGGTGGCAGAGTTTCTACATGTATCAGTGAGACCCTTGAACAGGTTGTTCAATGCTTCATTTATGATTTCCCATTAGTATGGCCTAGTCAGTCCAAGAAACAAGGGCTTTTGCCGAGGACCTCACTTCAGAAATAAAATGGAACAACAATATATTTTGATTTGCTGAATGAATAAAAAGACAAATTGTTGGTCCTCTGCCTTATTGTTATGTTGAAGTTAATTGACCATATTTAAGCAGACAAAATAATTCTACTAAATAGAAAGATTAGCCATTACTTCTACAGTGAAATCCTCTGAAATACTGCATGTATTGATTTGGATCTTTGACTTTTTTCCCCTGTGTTAAGCATTTTTGCATCTTTCACTCTCTGAGTTAAATGAAATAAATGAAACTTAAATAAAATATGATATGCCCAGGACAAGGTTTGTGCACATTTCTAGTAAAAATGACGAATGGGTTTAGTGAGTTATTTTTAGTCAATTATGTTAATGGCTGACTATAAGTAGGGTCATAAAACTGTACATATCAAATATGTGTAGTTCTTTTTATATCAATTATACCTCAATAAATCTGTTAAAACTAAAAAAGCAGAGTGTCTATTTTAAAAGAAATTTGTGCTACAATCTTTCATGAAAACAAAGCAGAATAGAAAGAATGCTTCAAATTGTCATGGCTGATACAGTAATTGCAGTATAGTATAGTAATTGCAGTGTTAATCTATGATTTTAATTTATAATTAATCTATAATTTTAATAAGATTTTATTTGAATAAGTTTAATGTATTAAGTAACAATAGTTTTCAATGAAACCTTAAACTGTTCTTTCTTAAAATTATGTATACTAAAAATGTACAAGTCTTCATATTTACTTTGATATGATTTCCAATTGTGCAGGTGGTTTAGAATTTGGAAAATGTATACTTCAGAGCTTGACTATTACATAATTACAAAGACGAAGCATAGATTATGTCCTCAATTATGAATAATACTTCATACTTTTCATGATTAGTTTTTGATTTTACTGAGCCATTCTCTGGGGCTTTCACAAGTATTGGCAAGGGACTTGAACTCTGGCAATTTAACAGGTCGTTTAATGCTTTAAAGATGATTCCCATTAATATGGCTCCATCAGACCAAAAATCATGGACTTCCATAAGGCTTTTTCAGGACCTCAATTACGTTAGGTATTTGAGTGCTTATCCAATATACTGATTTGATTACTTGAGATGTATGGATTTTAGAAGAATAAAAGCAATGTTTATATAAGGCATTTATGCCCAATTCTGAAAGTAGGAAAAGATAGTGCCTGACAAATAAACCATCATAATGAATGGAATTTCTATCAACTAAGATCTTTCCTCCTCCATTCCTACAGGTTCAGCCAAATTGGGTCCTAAAATACCTGCATTAATTGAGTGCATTATTTTTGTTATCATGGGAGCTAATGCTGAATATTTCATAGCATCTTAATGTTGGAAGGCAAATGTAGTGGTCATTTATTTCAATTGCTTCTTTAATCAGAAAAACTTTGCCCTTTAAATACTCAAGTTGCTTCAATGCTAAATGGTACAAATTTGATCAGGTGATAAATATAGATCATAATGTTTAATAATGATAACACAGCAATTATCAACCTAAAACACCTTTGCTGATATGACTACTACTTATGTTCGCTTAACGAGTATTCCCATAGCTTGCAATTTTGACTCAACATTTTAAAGAAGATGCTTCCAGCCTGCTAGGTTAGGTTCAAGTGATTTGCACAAGGCTTCCACTAACAGGAAGAAATGTCTATGTCCCTCGCAGCAGTCACACATTTAATCAAATACAGCTCATAAATTACATTTACAATCTTTAGACTTCAATCAATAGGGTATTTTATAGTCTGTAGAAAAATTATCTGGAGAGAAGTAGGAGAAATACAAGAAGGATGTAGCTGGGGCCTGTCCAGGTCTAGAATCTGCACTCTTGTCATGCTGAAGGGATTAACCTACCGATTTTAACAAAGAGGGATATCTCCAAATCAGCTGTGTGCAGGGCCAGGGCAAAGTTGGTGCTAATGAAGCATTCTGGGAAGACATGATCAATAGCACCAAAGCAAAGAAAATGTTTATGTTCTTTCATTCAACTTCGGAGTGAATTACAAAAATTAATTGGGGAAAAGATCATGGTGCTTACAGTAACTGATCCCAGTTTACCTGCTTCTCTGTAAAAGTAGCTTGCTAATGATAATGTATCTTAAGATCTCATAGTTGTACAATATTATACTTTAGTGGCATATTTCCTGGACACAATAATGTGCTATTCCTTTTTCACTCTCACTGTGATAAAAATTTTGCTAAAGTTGTAGAATCACAGTTTATAAAATAACAGCTTCATTTAGATTTTCCACCACGTGCACACAAATAGGTTATTTAATCAGTTTCTAAAATTATATGAGCAGTAGAAGATGTCCTGCTGGCTGGTCCAAAATACTTTGATAGAAGAAGTGAGAAAGATTTCATTTAGATGCTCTAAATCTTTCTGTACTTTCTATTAATGGTTATGCAAGTTTTGTGGCAAATCATGCTCCCAAATAAGAGAATCATACCGCAAGGAATGATTACCATATATTTATTTAGTTTCTGGTATATAAAATGGTACCTATGATATGAAATTAAATTATACATCAATGTGGAAAATGATGGACTTTTTGAGTCTCGAGCTATCTTAATGTCAGACAATAAGGATTGTGATTGTGATGATGGATTATTGATGTTTAAGTTCCTGAGAGTAAAATGATAAGAACTTTTCACAACACAAATATGACAATGCCAATATTCAGAATAGTGCCATCACTTGGCTTTTTTTCTTTCAAATTTAGCACATGGGTTTATTTATGGCAGACAGGTATATATTCTGTGTCTCCTGAAGTCCCAAAGTTCTCAGACTATTCATTCAAATTCAGGGCAGGTTACAAGAAAGGATTTAGAATCTGGCTGACTCTGACTTTCTGACTTACAGGTAATGCACAAAGTCCAAAGGGCATACGTACATACAGACACACACACCCATATATATGCACATATATCTGCCTAGATGTATGCATATGATATATTAAAAATTATATTAATGAAAAGATAAGCAGTAGCCTGGGATAAAATATTTGCAAATTTTACATTAATAATTTGTATCCTAAATTTATTAAACCACACAATATAAATCCAATAAAAATAAGGAAAACATTTGACTAGACATTACAACAAAGGAGATATATGAGCGGCATTATGTACATTAAAAGATATTTAACATCATTTGTCATTAGAAAAAAACACAAAATGATAAGATATTACTTTCTATTCATTACTACTACTATAATTCAAAAACCAGACAATAGGCCAGGCGCAGTGGCTCACGCCTGTAATCGCAGCACTTTGGGAGGCCGAGGCAGGCGGATCACGAGGTGAGGAGATCGAGACCATCCTGGCTAACACTGTGAAACCCCGTCTCTACTAAAAATACAAAAGATTAGCCGAGCGTGGTGCGGAGGCCTGTAGTCCCAGCTACTCGGGACGCTGAGGCAGGAGAATGGCGTGAACCCGGGAGGGGGAGCTTGCAGTGAGCCAAGATCACGCCACTGCACTCCAGCCTGGGCGACAGAGCGAAACTCCATTTCAATAAATAAATAAATAAATAAATAAAGCCAGATAATAACAAATGGGTGAGAATGTAGAGAAGTGGGAAAACTTGTTACATTTCTTATTGAATGCACAATGGTGCAGTCGTTTTGGAAAACAGCTGGGCAAATTCTTAGAAAGTTAAACGTAAGTTTACAATACAAACCAGAGCTTCTACTCCTAGGTATCTAAGCAAGAGAAATAAAAACATGTCCACATAAAGACCTGTATATATTTTTCATAATGGCTAAAAATTAGAAATAATTCAAAGGTCCACCAACTTGTAAATCGATAAAAAGTAGTATATCCATACCATAGAATACTACTCAGCAATAAAAAGCAGTAAAAAACATTATGCTAAGTAAAAATAAAACAAGCCAGATATGAAATACCACATATTGTACAATTCCATTTTATGAAATATCCAGGGAAGGAAAACTTATGGTCATAAAAGTGGATTAAGGATTACTTGGGGTAAGGGATGACAATGGGGAGTGAATGCAAATGGACACAAAGGGATTTTTTTGGGGGTGATGGAAATGTTCTAAAATTAGATTGTGGTGATATTTGCACAAGGCAGTAAATTTACTTAAAATGAGTAAAATTTATGCTATGTCAGTTTTACTTCAATACTGCTGTTAAAAAAGCAAATTATACTCTTAGACACTAGCATTAGAGTCTCAAGGTAAAAATCAGGTTAGAACATGATTCAGAGAATATAAGAAAATTTAACATTTCTAGAATTCCAGAAAGAAATTTTTCAAAAAGTTTGCAAAGTTTTATCTAAAATTTATTTTGATGTTGTGTATCAATTATTACCCTCCTTAGATTTGTGAGCTCCATAACAGTAAAGGTCTTGACCTTGTTCATCAGTTTTTTCCTGGCACCTAGAACAGTTTCTACTATAGAGGTGTTACTCAGTAAATATTGATAAATGAACGAATGACATGATCCTCATCTAGTTGGTCAACTTATAGAGAAGTTTCCCAATGATTCAGTGGGGGTTTAGAATCGGGCATGCAGATACTGATAAGAAAAAAACAGGAGGTAGCAGAAGGCCTGATGCGTGATCAGAGATATACAAGGACAGGGAAGGCTGAGATTGAGAGGGGCATTATCAATCAATTCCAACAGGAAATCAATGACATACTCAAACAATTTGAGGAGGAGTTTTTTTTTTTTTTTTACAAAAAGGATTATTGACAAAACTATACTCAAGATATAAAGAAATCATGAAGATATAGCAAGCTGGGGCTAGTAAATGGGAGAAGCTTCAGCAGAGGGTCCTAAGACAGGAAAGGAGGGAGGACTTCCTGAAGCCCAGATGGAGAGAGTTGAATGGAGACCTTTTGTTAAGGTGTTAGCCCATGATTACTTCTCATGGCAAAAGCCAGTAAGAGAAATACATCGATCTCATTCTCCTCCCTCTTTCTCATGTCCTGCTTGGCTCTTTATTGTTCAACTCAAACAGAAGTCCGGGCCCATGGGAGTCTGCTAAATATATGGATAGCTCAGCCTTCTCCTACAGAAACATGGTAGAGAAAGGTGGAAAGTGGAGATGGGGGTGCAAATGGAAGGTAACCTGCACAGGAGTAAGCCTTAGACCACTGGAGTCTGGGGCTAAGTGTAAGGAAGAAGGAATTGAAGTATAATGCAGAAGCTGAAGATTAACACTGGGTATTTAAACCCCTTGCTTGGATAAATAGGGAAACGAATATAGACCGATGAGGTTTCAATACTATACACCTTATATTTGGGTTGTCTTTGAAGTATGGCCAGGCTGAGATTTTAGGTAGGCAATTAGTGGGCTGCAATGCGAACAGCTGGGAGAGACAGATGAAAGAAAACAGGTGCTGATCTTACCTGCATTAAACTTCACTAGGTTTGCTTTTCCGCATTGTCCCACTCTCAAAAAAGAAAAATCATTTGCTGCCTTTTTATATAGTTACAATAAATAGCCACTAACAGAAAATAAAAAAATCTTGATTAAGGAAGCTTTGGCTAGTCAGAAAGCAGGGGTTCAAAACACAATGTATCCCCTAAGCAACTTGCTTTTCTTTAGATAAATGTATTTGTTATGGCTGCGGTAACAAATTACCACAACGTGGGTGGTTTAAAATAACAGAAATGTATTGTCTCATAGTTACTGAGGCTAGAAGTCTAAAATCAAGGCATCAGCAAGGCCATACCCCTTCTGAAGGCTCTAGGGAAGAATTCTTTGTTGCTTCCTCCTAGCCCCCAGTGGTTGCTGGCAATCTCTTATCTCTTACACTTCTTGGCTGCATCGCTGCCTTGTAGTTCCTACCCTGTCATCTCTCTGTGTGTTTCTGTCTGTATCCAAATCTCTCCTTATAGCAGCACCAGTAATTGAATTTAAGAGGCATCCTAATCTAGTATGACATTATCTACACTTTCTTACATCTGCAAAGACCTTGTTTATAAACAAGGTCACATTTGCAGGTAGCAGGAATTAGTACTTAAACACATCTTTTTAAATTATACAGTTCAACCCATAAGAATAAATGATAATACAAATAATAAAGATCTCATTTTTATGTAGCATTTCACATAGTACTTTCATACACATTTTGCCCTTTTTCCAATCCCAACTTTTTCTCATCTTTTTAAATCACTCTGCTGAGAGGCAGGCAGGATAGGTATGACATACTGAAACAATGGTGAGTATAAAGGCATTGTGCTTACTTTCTGCAGCTCGGATTGTGATTTGACCCCCTTATGCCTTTACCCCTGAACCTACCGCTTCTTCTGCTTACTATATTGCTTATCCGTAAATTTATTCCTTTACAGGTTTAGAATGGCAGGGATAACCTGCCCACTACTTTATGATACAAAGCACATTTCTTTTTTAATTGTGTATTTAACATTAAACATTTTATGGTACTGTTAGTTTAGTTATTGACTTGGTTTAAAATCATCCAAATAATGATAATTACGGTATCCATCTATACTCTTGACTGTTTCTCTGAATTTATACATCTATATACGGAAAGTAAGTGGAATTTAAAGACAGTATAATCTTATAGGGATCTGTGGGCCCTTAAAACATTTTTAGTTTAGAATAATGCCTGGAGTAGTCAACATATAATGTCATAATGATCTTGAATTCAGGCTCCTTAGGCTGCATTTTGCATTCTAAAAATGAATGAGTTGGTTGAATGAGTGTATAAATACATTTCAATTATAGCCATATCTATGCTTTACATAAAAAATCAAACCTAGCTTTTACTGACTGATCTAGAATGTACTTACTCTTAAAGTACCATTGAGAAATACTTAGGTATAGCAAGATTTTGAAGCAAAAGAAAACCTTTGAAGATATAATATTGATTAATGATTATTGATATAACAGTCTTCCACTGCACGTAACAAAATACCCAGCTCAAACTGGCCTAAGTGATAACAGAAATTATTGTCTTAGAGTAACTAACAATCTCCATAGATTAAAAAAAAGTTTTAGATGGGTTTTATTGGGGAGTTGGGTTTATTTCTCTGCCATTTCCTTCTCCGTGTGTTGGCTTTTTATCAGGGTTCTATACCCTTATTAAGCAAGGCTACTGAACCACATCTGACCTGCACAGCCGGGCTATCACCTTTCCAGCGTTCACATCAAGGAGTCTGAGAGTCACACTGCTCGTAGGTGAGGTGGTCATGGACTCACCCTGAGCCTTTCTTCAGGCAGGAGGACTGAAATGTGCTGATGGCTCCAAAGAAACCAGGACCTACCCCTGGGTCAAAGGGGAAGGATATATACTTGAATGAAAATTAGAATAAGTTTTAAGAAGAGGGATGGCAGAATAATCAATAGATGTCTACAACATACACCCATCAACCTTTTCAATATTCTTTCCTGATCTATGTAGAGAGTTGATATCACCCCAGAAAAATATGCATGCACAATTAAAGTATTGTACCTTACTTTCTTTGTCATCTTTTTTTTTTAATTCTGGTAAGAACACTTAACTTGAGATCTCTTCTATTAAATTATTAAATGCAAAATACAGTATACATAATTATACTCAGAATGTTATACAGCAGATCTCTAAAACTTATATGTCTTATATAACTGAAACTTTATACACATTGACCAGAAACCCCAATTTTCCTGTGCCCCTAGCCCCTGGAAACCACCATTCTATTTTTTATGAGTTTGACAATTTTAGTTACCACGCGTGAGCGAAATCAACACTGTAAGTGGGAATATAAACTGGTGCAGGTGCTATGGAAAACATGGTGGTTCCTGGAAAAAAATAAAAACATAACTATCTTATGACCCATCAGTCTCACTTCTGGGTATATCTTAAAAGGAAATACAATCAAGATCTCAGGCAGCAATGCTCACTCACCTACTGCTTACCTCCTACTGTGTGGCTCATTTCCTAACAGGTCATGGACCAGTACTGGCCCAGGGGTGGGAACCCCTGGAATAAAGAATCATAACTGAGATGTTGTTCAAGGCTAATCTAGAATCATATCTGTGCTTTTAGTTTCAGATCAATGGTGACATTAGATTCTCATAGGAGCAGGAACCCTATTGTGAACTGTATATGCAAGGGATCAAGGTTGCAAGCTCCTTATAAGAATCTAATGCCTGATGATCTGAGCTTGTTTCGTCTCGAAACCATCCTCCTCCCCTTCTTCCTGCTGGCCAAGGAAAAATTGCCTTCCGCGAAACCGGTCCCTGTTGTCAAAAAGTTTGGGATCGCTGCTTTATTCAAGAGACCAACGCTGAATATCTGGTATGTCCCAGGTACTAGCTATGGTGAGCAGCAGGGACTGAGAGTAGAGGAACACTACACGGATAAATTCCACATAGTTCCTACCATGACAGAAACTCATAGTCTTGAGTATTCTTCTGACCAGCAATGGAATTTTAATATAGCAGCTAACTCATAAAGATACAGTGAAAATTAAATGACTTCATATCTGTAAAGTTCTTGTCATAATGCCTACAACTATGTTTAATATTTAAACTGTGATAGTGACCAGGGGATAGGTTTAGGCCAAAAAACTAAAGTTATGAAAGCTATCTATCATATAAATACAAACTTTGTGGGAAAAAATTCAGTATTATTGGCATTCATTTAGAGGGTATTAACAAATCACTTGCCCTATCGTAGTGACCTAGGTGGTCCAGAAGCTGGTAGGAATCAGTCCTTGGAGTTTAGGAGTTTATTGTCCTTTCAGAGTTTCATGTGAAAACTTGAAACAGCATCTTAACCTGTTTGATTCCCTCCCTCTATCCGCTTCCCATTTATCCCCCAAGTTAGCTGTAGTTTAGAACTTTAAATGGTAAGGATGGATTTTTGTAAAGGCCACTCATACTTATTTTTTAGTGGTACTACCAACAATCTATTTACTCATCCTTTTAAGCTTTTCAGTGTGATACCTTAATGGGAACTTTTACTTAAAAAGCAGGGTTCGATTAATCATTTCACTTTGTTGCTATATGCTTACTTTTACATATATGTATTAAAATAGAACATATCTAATGAGTGGTAAAATCTTTATGTAGAATGTTTTTGTCTCAGTGTATCTTAATATAAACTACAATAGAATTTAAAAAACAAATCTGGAAGAAGTATCTGCACTCCAATGTTAATTGCAAAATTATGCTCAACAGCAGATGGGAACAACCTGAGTGTTCATCAATGGATGAATGGATGAAGAAAATGTGGTTTATATATATGATGAAGCATTATTTTACCTTAATAAGGAAGGAAATCTTGCCATATGTGACAACATGGGTGAACCTGGAGGACTATATGCTAAGTGAGATAAGCCAGTCACAGGACAAATATTGCATGATTCCACTTACATGGGGCATCTAAAATAGTCAAATCTATCTATTTTTATTTATCCTTATCAATAAGTTCATATGTCTTTAAATAAAATATCTGGCCAATAAGAGCAAAGTCTCATTTTTCAACTGAAAGTGAAAAAAATCTAAGGATCATAGTTTTTAATTTCTTAAAGATGTAGGTGAATTTCTTGTATATTTTTGCTTAATTTCTAGGCATATGCTAGAAGTGAAATGTAATTTAGAGGACTATATTTCTTTCCAATTGCTCATTTGCTTGTTGAATAAATATTTTTGTTAAATATCACAATCGTATTACTTTGGGGAATGTTACTTATAATAGTAATACTTAAATTGCAAGATGTAATGTTATAATCTTTTTATCATCACCAAAGATCTTTATTAACATTTTAAATCTAAAGCTCTAAAATTAACAATTTAAAGTTACATAGATAGAAAATCATTTTATTCATATGTTAAGGTTAACCCTATACTAAAATATTATAATCATTTTTATAATGAGGGCATTTACTCTGTGAAACAATTAGGGTAATGTATACAACATAAATGTAAAGATATTGAAGATAATGAGATATGTCTCATAGGACATATGTTTTACAAATCTTAGTCAATTATTTAGTGTAAAAGACTTTCATCCTAAATTAAAATGAAGATAATACCTCACTAAAATGCATGTAATAATTTATTCTATTATCTCAATTCATGTCTTGATCATATTTGTTTAGATGGATAAAACCACTTAAGAAAAAATGGTAAAATATCTGGTGGATATACAAATCACATAATCATGAGTTAATAAGAACTCATGTTGGATTTCAAGAGTTTTTTTTCTAAAACTAGTAGACTAAAGAAGGTAATCTTTGCAAGGTTGTTAGAAATACCCATCACAAAAATACTGCATATAAGTTACTGAGGGCTTTTTGATGTTTTACACTGAATCTTTAAGGTTTCTTTCCTTGCCATATGTAAAGAAACAAATTTAGAGCATATTTTGCATTTATGTTTTCTTGTTATAAATTTATTCCTGAATAAGTATCTTCTCTTTAGGCTTTAATAATATCTGATTCCTTGGGTATGTATACTGGCATAAATGTAACTCACTCAATATTTCTATGCCTCTATTTGATATTATTAATTTACATTGATTTATTCAATAAATAAATAGTTATTTAATATCTCCTGTCCTAACCTAGGTTCTCCAGAAAGCAAAGCCTCAGACAAAAGCTAGTGTGCTTCTATCCCTTTCAGGAAGTTTAATCCCAGGGAGCAGAAGTGAGGGAAGATAGTAGTAAAGAAGGAAAGGAGAGAAAACCAACGCAGGGATGCATAATCTGGCTACCGCTGAGTGTCAAGGATAAATTATTGCTTCATTTTGCCCAACTGCTTCGTGAGAGCGTACGTAAATTATTACTTCTCCAGATAGTCTGATAAGGGGAGGTAATTCATTCACTGGCTTCTGTCTCTTTGTGGTGAGACTGTTAGTTTCCCTACATTTCTGAATTGCACATGCCAGGGCATAAAGAACACTGGGGCATCTCACCAGATCAGCTTCAGTGGGGAAGCCCAGGGAATAGTAGGTAAGACCAGCACAGGATGGGCATGAGGTAAGGCATTGTCCGGTCATGCCCTGTGAAGTTTGTCACGCAATCTCGGTCACCCCAACGGCAACTGTGGCTAGAATAAGAGCCAATATCCCTAGAGACCTTATCTCCAGATGACCTAAAACTAAGAGGACCTAAAATGGGGTATATATCAGGAACAAAACAGACAGATATTCTTGCTTTTTTGGAGGTTGCATTCTGGCAGAGGGATAAGACAATAAAGAAAAACATAATGAATAACTTATATCCCATAGTAGAAGATAAGTGCTATGGGAACAATTGAGCAGGTAAGAGAGGATAAGGAATGTTTGGGTGGTGGGATTCAATTTTAAACATGATGGTAAGGGTTGGCCTCACTGAGAAGGTGACATTAGAGTAAAGGCAGATGGCACACAGTCCCTTGTTGCTGGCAAATCAGTAGGAAGCAAGTGTGGCAGGGTCCATATGGTCCAGTGGGGATGGGAGGAATGGAATCAGAAAGGGAAGACCAGGTAAGTCAGGGGCTTAGAGGACTGTGCAAATATTTCATTTTTTACTCTGAATCAAAGGAGAACCCCAGCAGGGCTTAGAGCCAAAAAGCATTATACAAATTATATATATTGGATTTTGGCTTCTCTCTGGAGAAGACACAAGAAGAAGTAACAGGTGGGAGCAGAAAGGCCAGAAAAAAGGCAATTCGAGTATTCCAACTAATTTCGAATAGTTTTATGATTCTTTAAGATAAAAAAAATTTGATTGTAAACTTTTTGATATCAAGACACCATTTGCATAGCAGAATAAATTTTAACATATCACGATTGTGTGTGTGTGTGTGTGTGTGTGTGTTTGTGTATGTACCAAATACGCGTGAAGTTTCTTTTGAAATTTGGAATCTGATTCAGTCATTTTTATTTTGGAGAAACATGAAAAAAATCCTTTTTCATTCAAATTTTTGAAATGTGGATTTTACCATGGAAAAAAAACTTCTAAATTCTCTAGCTGAGGATGTCGGTGCCTTTAAATATGATGCTAATTTTTCTTAAGGAAATATCTCTCAAAGTCAATTTGTTTCTGATAACTAATTTGTTGTTCAGTTTTTGAAGTGCTTTCAAATTGTTTGAGGTTCTCTGTTATGTCTTCATATATAAAGAAATTTAAACTTTAAGGACCGTTATTGAAAAAGATTAAATAAATGACCTTAGGCTTTTAGTCTAGTTTCCATTTGACTTTATGACAAAGTTGAGTTTAAAATAAAATTTCTCAAAATCTGATATTAAAAGATGTAATATTATTTTGAAAATTCTCCCTCCTTTATTATTTGTTGTTGTTGCTATCAATGATATTTTAATTGAAAACATAAGTTATGAAGAATGGATTTTACAAATAATTTACTATAAATTATTCATAATTTACATCATTTGGTAATTTTATCCCTGGAAGTAAAGCAAAACTTTATATTTTGTTCATAATTATCAAAGTTACTCTATAACAACTATAATTAATACATATATGACAGTTAATAGAAATTATTGACTTCCTGAAAACATCCATTTTTTTCTCCTTTTTCTCCTTATTTTCTTTCTGTGTTTTTTATTTTCTATTCATTTTCAGAAAGCAAGTTAATTTCTTTTAAATGAGACAATTTCACACACTGTATATATATATATATTTTATTAGGTGATTTTCACCATATCTTGTACTATTTGATTTCCTTTCTTCAGTCTTCCTCTGTAAACTATTGTAAAGCTAATCAGTGTTAATAGATTATATTTTAAATTATTCTTCTAATTAGTTCTCCCTTTTTGAAATGTCATTAATCCCTTGAATTAATTAATTTCATATGAATATGCATGACATATTTTTCTAGGAAGTCCGTTTAATTTAGTTTGGTGATTGCATTGCTAATCACCTAGATAATTTTTGGTTATCCTCATCAAATAATGTTTACTGAGGCTTATGTTTATGAAATACTGCTATGAGAGGTGCTGTAAGAGCCCTGTGTGGCTTCATCTACCATGATTCACACTTGTTATGTCTATTTAATTTTCCATACTTTGTTTTTTTTCTCTCGGGCATAACTTGATTTCTCTGATACTTTAGATGCAATTAAAGAGTCTTTAGTGGTCAGAAGTTCCACTTCATAATTTCAGTGATTGTCTATGTTTTATCTGTCCAGAAGGTTTTCCCCTTTTGGGGGCGACATTAAACTCTCACATCTTTAGGGGACTACTCAGTTCTCCTTTTAGCATATTCCATTTACTCCAACCCTTGGTCCAATATGGCTGTTATTTGGCTGGTTAATTGAAGTAGCAGAATCATTGGCCAATGGCAGTAAGCATGTGACTCAAACCTAGCCAATCAGTATTCTTCCCTAGGTTTGTTTTTTTCTTCCTTGGAATAAAAACCAGTGCTATGAAAGAAGCGATACAGGTTATTAGTTTTCCATCTGTTAAATTTTTCTGAGTTATTCTGGTGTGAATGTGGATGTATGTTTTACTAGAAAGCCCATCTAATTTAGTTTTCCAGTTGCATTGCTATCTACCTAGATAAAAGAAGTGAACTGGAAAATAAAAACAAAATTAGGGATCTTCAATAAAAAGGCATTTTGATGATATTTGCAGCTCTGGAGCTAATCATCTTTGAATTTAACTGTACCAGGCCCTTTCCTTGGTTTAGTTATATGAAGACAACAGAGTCCTTGTATTATCTAAATTGCTCTGACTCTGTAATTTTCTACATGAGTGGAATTAGTTTGGGTTGCTTAAATACATGGTGATCAATCATTACATAGCAAATCACATCAATGAGTTTACATATATCATGGCTAAAGCCTACATGCTTAACTCTACAGATGGAAAAGCGGGGGATGATAGACTTTAGCACTGTGCCTGAGCATCATCTCCTTACTCTTAGTAGGAATCAGAGAGATGTGACCTTTGGCCCATAATACACTATGAATTCACTTTCCTCCTCTGAAGGAGGAAATTGACATGACAAACAAAGGATTTTTTAGCATTGCCAGGAGGATATTTAAAAAGCACTTTAAACGCAGTGAAATAAAAGCACCAATAATAAAAAAGTCATATAAATAATATATAATCCCTTACTCCTGACACTGGTAGTTATTTGCTCATATTCTTACAATAATATTAAATCACTATTACCAGGAGACCTAAATTTATAAACCAAGTTTGGCCTCCAAGCAAGTCCACAATTGCCTCTGTAGGCAAGAATGTTGGCTTTTTTTTCTTACTTTTCTGCTTGCCTTGTAATTTGAAATTGTACTCATAGTGTGGCAATAAACTTGTAATAGTCAGCTTTTAGAATTACTAGACATCTCCTTGGCATGAAAAAGCAATCCAAAGCCTCCGGAACACTATATTGATTCATTTTAAAACCAACCCAATAATTTTTCTAGTGCAAGAATGGAATGCATATTATTTTATTTAAAAACTAAAGAATGTATGTCCAAATAGTTTCAGATAATACTTGAGAGCTAGTTCCTTTGGGTACAGTTTCTACTTTTTCAATTGTTTTGGAGTAGCAAATATAAGAATAGAAGATAAAGTACTTGCAGGCTTCTTCAATAAGACATCCCTTATTGCTATAAAACTACCTTGGGCTAATTCCACACTAAAACTGACAGAGCATGAGACTCAAGAAATTAAGTTTTTAAAAAAGACCTAAAATGCCAATTTTAAATCACAGTATAAACCACCAAAGTAACTTTCAGAGTTTTTGAAATAAGTAAAATATCAACTGTGTGATGAAACTTAAGATATAAAACCGTGAGCTTATTACTTCTCATGAAATTCCAGATTGATATTCACACGGCTTCAATATTACATGTAATCAAGCACAGTAAGAGGCCTGGCACTTAGTAGGTATTCCAAAAATGTTGAATTAATGACTAATCAAATGAAAGAAAAGACACATTTCAGAGTTTATAAAATATCCTTGGTGCCAAGTGAATTGTTATAAAATCTTAAATTCTATTCTTTCAGGGTGCTAATTGTTATTAGTGACCCATTTCTTATTCCTATACACTTCATTTACACTTTGGCTTGTGTTTCAGACAGAAATTGGTACTGAACTTAGGAGCTGATTCTTAAGGCATTAAGAACAGATGAAAATAAAGTCTATATGAGAGCTAGGATTTTTGTCTACTTTGCACATTACAGACAGTGAATTAAGCATATTCAAAGAGGGAGCTCAAGGTATAATTGATAAATATATGAATGAAGTGGAAAGTGGAGAGAGGAAAATCATTTTCCAAATTGTATACAGATAACACATTAGGAAGACGTTATCAGATCTGAGGTTTGAGATAAAACAAAATGAATGAATAAAAGTATTGGATAAAGTACTGGGGAGAAATGAAATGGGTTTGGATAGATCTAAAGCAGTTCAAGGTTTTTCTATTAATAACACTTTTGATATATTAAAATACTGAGAATACTATCAGTTGGAAAACATAACTGGATTAATATTTTTCCTTGTCAACAACAAACTGGCACATTTAAATTCCCACTCCCTTTCCCCAAAAGACAAGATATCCCAGAGTTTAAAATAAAGTTTTATACTTTGCAGGCAACTTGTCAAGAATGCTTGTGTTTCATACATGTGTAATCCTCCATTGTATTAAACACCTAAAGCCAAAGTTATTACTTTATTCACAAATGGTCATAGTTCTAACACCTACTACCGACCAAAAATAGGTCAATAAATTAGGTTTAAACCTCATTTTCTTTTTTTGACTTTTATTTAGGCTTGTGGATGTGCAGGTTTGTTACATGGGTAAACTGCATATCACTGAGGTTTGGGGTATGAATGATCTCAACACCTCAGTAGTGAGCATACTACCCAATAGGAAGTTTTTCAACCCATACCCCCTCCCATTCTCTTCCCTTTGGTAGGCCCCAGGGTCTGTTGTTGCCATCTTTATGTCTATGTTTACCCAGTGTTTAGCTCTGGCTTATCAATGAGAACATGCACAAACCTCATCTTAATAAGTGAACTCTACAAGTATTTACTGCAAATGTAACATTGAGTTGGGTATTACAGGTATCAGAAAAGATTCCAAAAAAAGATCTTTGTCCTAATGGGCTATGTAATCTTTTGCTTTTATTTCAAGATTTATTTTAGATTTGAGGATACATATGCAGGTTTGTCACATTGGCATATTGAGTGATGCTGAGGTTTGGGGTGCAACTGATCCCATTGCCCAGGTAGAGAGCACAGTACCTGATAGTTTTTCAGCCCTTGCCCCACTCTGCCTCTCCACTTATGGAGTCCCCAGTGTCTATTGTTTCCACCTTCGTGTCCATGTGTACCCAATGTTTAGCTACTACTTGAAAGTGAGAACATGCTGTATTTGGTTTTCTGCTCCTGCTTTAGAAACTATATAATCTTTTGAAGGAGACAAGGAATAACATATAAAACAAGTGAAGAAAAAAGAAAACACTGACAAAATATAGAGTAATGCCTTATAACATGGTAAATTGACCATAATCAAAGACTGTACTCTATGATACAGACAACATCCTCCACTGGACATTAAAGATTTTAGATTAAAAGCAATGGTCTGCTTGTATAAATTTTATTATTAAATCATTAAATTGCAATAAAGAATTCCTTCAGGTAAAGACTCTTTTAATACACTATTTAATAAAAATAAAAGCAGATTATATGCTCTATAATGATTATTCATTATTAAAAATGTTTTGTCCTGAATATATTCACTCATGCCAATCAAAAATCCCTGTAACAAAGTCCAAAATTTTCTATTTTTGGTTTTCAAAACTACAGTAACTGCAATTATTATTTATAAACACACAATGAATATTAACTTTTCTTTATTACATTTCTGGTGGAGTAATGCAAATGAATCACCTTTGAAAACAAGAGACACATTGAATTTTCACAGGGCCTTAGGAGACACATAACATTTCATTAGATTACTTAATTATCAGAAAGTTACCACCAACAGAATAAATGGTAGCATCCCAGTCCACTAAAAAACGTGTTTTTTATCTCAAAAATGCCATAGACAGGATTAAAAAAGCAATTACTTGTCACTTCTGCAAAGATTGTAATATTCAACTTACTTTAAATGGAAGATTTTTCTAAGGGTTAGAAAATTAGCTGCTAAATAGGTCACAGCTTTTGCAAGCAATTCATTTTTGTTCGAAATATTATCAATCAGTTGAAAAAGGTAAAGGACTTCTATGATGTTATCTCGGATTTGGCAGAATTTAATTTTTGTCTGTCCATTTCTATTTATGATTGTATTTACAGGTGTCATTCAATCATTGTTTCACTCACTCATTGAGGAAGACTCACTATGTCCTTCAGTATTAAATATTCATTTTCACTAATACACTAATTGAATCTTAATATAAAAAACCATGCAGAATTATAGTGTGAAATAAAAAAATTGCTTTTCTTTAAAATGTTTCTAATTGTATCTGTTTTGCTTTAGACATACAGCAATTTCCTGTTTTTATTAAGACTACTTTTAAACTTTTATCCATATGTGAAATCATCATATGGAATCTGTCCTACAATCACACTATTTCCCCAACTCATTCATTTACAATCACCCAGATGGCTAGTTTTTGCCTTTTCTTTCCTCAAAATTATATTGCCTTCCTTTTTATTAAGAAAAGAATAGCTCTAAGAATTCCCACGAGTCACACAACTAAATACCAGAGGTGAGGAGTCTGTGTTCCTCTGGGAGGCCAACACATGGGGAGAGGTGTTAGAGTCCATTGCCCCAACATACTCAAGGGCATTACTCCTCCATTCTCTTTTCATTTTTTCATATCAAGTTGTTGTTTCTACTGTATCATTTTCATCAGCATATAAACATATCGTTATTTTGCTCATTTTAGAATGAAAGTCATTTATCATGTCTCTGCTACCTCAGTAATCCACTACCATCAGTGATCGTGTCCTGCTTCTCTTAATGCATCACGAGCTTCCTCTTAACCTCAAGGAAAAAGACAAACATCTCATCGGGTTGCTGTCTACCTCTTCAGCTTCAGCTCTTCCACTCTAAGTTCCTGCCATTCTGAATTCACTTCTTTCTACTCACTCTGCTCCTGAGATTTCATACCAGCTGTGCCACCAACTGGTACACACTTTCCTGTGCCTGCCTTCCACCCTACTCCTGTCTACCCTCTTTCCTGTCGCCTGGCTGCCCCTCAGGCATCTTTTGGGCCTTGGCTGACACAGCACTTTTGCAGGGATCTTGATATGGTTTGGCTCTGTGTCCCCACCCAAATCTCACCTTGAATTGTAGTTCCCATAATCCCAACATGTCACGGGAACGACCAGGTAGAGATAACTGAATCATGGGGGTGGTTTCCCCCAACTTGTTCTCTGTGATAGTGAGTGAGTTCTCACAAGATCCGATGGTTTTATAAGGGGCTTCCCTCTTCTCTGGGCATTCATTCTTCTCCCTCCTGCCACGATGTGAAGAAGGACATGTTTGCTTCCCCTTCCACTATGATTGTAAGTTTCCTGAGGCCTCCCCACACATGCGGAACTGTGAGTTAATTGAACCTCTTTCCTTTATAAATTACCCAGTCTCAAGTATGTCTTTATTAGCAGCATGAGAATGGACTAATACAGATCTGATCCTCCAGCTAGATTAGTGCCCTACTCATGTGTGTGCCCTTCTCTATCAGCCTGTCCAAGTAGTAGAGTGAACATTCTGTAAGGTGAGGACTTTACCTCATTTACCACTGTATTCCTGGCACTTAACACAGGACATGGCATGTCAGGCAGTCAAAAAGTATTTGTATTTGAATGGATAAATGAAGAATTGAGGACATTCAATACTGTTCAATAAATATTAGCAGACAATTCAGCTGAAGAAACAAAGTTTGTAATAAAAATCTAGAAGTTTGGTTGTGAAACATGACTTATAAACTCAGATTATACAGGCTAGTATAATTTCTAATATTTAAAACTTTTAAATGTAAAAGCTATAAAAAACACTTCTTTCTTAACTAAAGGGAAATGCAAAGTTTTCACCTTGTTTTCCAAAATTATTTCATATGGATTGATTGAAACAGTGGTGGGACATCAAAATTAATAAAATTTTACAGCCTTCAAATGTCTGATTTCCTAAAATTTTCCCTTTTTATGGCAGGTCTCCTCTCTTGAATTTCACCTGTAGGATTTTATCTCCCTTTATTTTATGAGAAAACACTTCTTTTCTTTTTTTAAAAAATTTTGTAACGCAATTTTAAATTTCAATTTCTTGAGCTTTATACATGTTAGTTGTAAGCAAAATACTCCCATCTTAGATCAGAGCTTTTATTTCAGTGCATAGTTGTGATAGGAAGTGACCCTGAGCGCCTCATTTAAAATAAAAATCTTCTCACTGTGTCCCTCCCGTTTGTCCTGGTCCTGGCCTCTCTCATCACCCAGCTTTATTGTCTTCCATGGCAATTATCACCATTGGGTCGTTTTGCCATTGACTCCTTAGTGCCTGTCTCTTGTGTTAGAATATAAGCCACATGTGGGCAAGTGTCTCGTCTGTGTTTCTCACCAGTATATACCAAAGTGCCTTGTATGTTATGGAGACTTGATTAAATACTACATGAGTGAATGAATCTTCTAGTTATTTGATCAAAAAAGCTACCTAACCATGTGCCTTCTGCCTGATAATAAAATGTTATCATTTTAAAGTTTTCTTCTTTTTCAAAAGTAAAGTAGGTATACCATCCATTGAGGTTAGCAAAAGGCTAGCATGTTAAATACCCACTTCACTTCTGTAAGTAAGAAAAAGCTCTGAGCTCCTCCATAAAGCCACTTCGCTTTCTGCGTTCTTTGAACTGTATTTTAATAAAAAGTCACCATTATGCAAAAAAAAAAAATGCATTTGAACTACTGGCATCTTACACTTTTTCTCTTCTGGAAGGCTAACACTTGAAACTACTTGAAGAGAAGTAGCTAAACTATGAAAAGTCACTGAAAATCATTTCTAGGAAATAGAAAATTTGCCTTTTGCTCCTTGTTCTGATTTCACAAATGTAAATTGATTTCACAAATCAGTTTTGAAATCTGAATTGATTTCATAAATCTGATTAAAAAGAATAAGAATTTTATTTTTTGTTTTTAAATATAAGATTTATGTCCATCAGTAAGTCTTTATTCATGTTCAATGCTATTTGTTTATGTAAATAACATTGCTATGGTCTGAATGTTTTTTTTCTCCCAAATCCATATGCTGAAAATCTAATCATCAGCACAATGACATTAGAAAGTGGGGTATCTGGGAGGTGATTAGATTATGAGGGTGGAGTCTTCATGAATGAGGTCTGTGCCCTTATAAAAGAGGCTGTAGAGAGCTAGCTAGCCACTTCCACCATGTGAGGTCAGTGAGAAGCCATCATACATAAGTCAGATAGTAGGCCTTCACTAGACACCAAATCTGCCAGTACCTTGCTCTTGAACTTGTCGGGCTCCCCAAATGTGAGAAATAAATAAATAATAAATATGTCATAGCAGTCAAATGGACTAAAACAACCACATATTTTAAATCATTGTCCACCAATACAGGAAGACATTTTTTAATGTTCTGAAAGTAATTTCACTTCTAACCCACAGTCAGCTACATATTGACTATCATTAACTGAATAAAAAAGCTTTATCAGAAAGAAAAATACTGTATTCACTTGATTATTTTTTCCATCCTGTTTTATTTAAACATGTAATTCTCCTCTAAGTGACAAGTCATATTCTTGAAAATCTCAGAACCTCACATCAAATTCTTAGTCCATCTGCCTTTTCTGTAATCAGTGAATGACAAATTAATTATACTTTATTTTAGCTGAGTTTTATGTAGACACGGAAAGGCTACTGCCTACTATGAACCTGCTTTAAAAACAATGTGAAGACTTGGAAGTTTATAGAAATCTAAAATCAAAAAGAGCAGGTCTAATATCCTATATTGGAGATGTTTAGTGCCAAACGGCTCTGTTGTGATGACATTCATTTTCCTTTTCCGTGGAAAAAAACTGTGATTTTCAAAGCTTGAGAGACTTTATGGTCAATATCAGATTGCCAACCTTATGAAAATAATTGTCATCATCTTTGTCCAAACAACTACGTGTCAGAGAGCTACTTCCAGATGTGCTATTCACTTAATACACATATTGTCTAATCCTTACTATATGTGGAAAGTTGATAGTCATACCATTTTTGTTTTAGATGTAAAAGTTAAAAAATTGATAGAGCTGGCCCTAGACTCATCTAAGGCTCTTTTCACAACGCCGGGCTAAAAAGCATCATTGTGATTTCAGGTAATAACCATCAGGCTAAAATACTCACATACTTCTCAGGCCCAGGAAGGTTACTTAAGTGAGTAAAGCAAAGTAGATGTTGGGTTATTACGAAGAAGAGCACACAAGGCCCTTGTACAGGGCAGCGACTCCTCAGGTCCCACCAAAGGCTGTCACTTGTGAATGTGCATCTAAGGTTTCTGATTTTGTAACTTTTCAGGAAAGGCCAGAAACCTAGATGATTGTGGGTATACAGGCTTATATGTGTGTTTTACACACACACACACACACACACACACACACACACACGGTTCTGATTTTGGAAGGCAATCAAAATCATGTTTAAAGAAAGTAATGTGGGAGCCAAATGCAATATACAATAACTGGGGGAATTATGTTGCAACTTCTTTGTTACATTAAGAAGATTAAAACATTTTGAATAAATTTTAATGAATTTATTATCAGAGCAGATGTTTAAAACTTTTGTGCTAAGTAAGAGTATAATTCAGCCTCTAGCACCTAATTCATGTTTTCAGATAACACTTTCTATGCATCTTCCTTTTTCTTTGTTTTGTACTTTTTGGACCCCTTAAAAGAATATCACCAGGACTAAGACTTGTACTAGGAAATCACTTGAGGCATCTTGTAAACAGAAACAAATTTGACATCCTTCTCTCCTGGAGTGAAAGCAACTAAACAGAAGCAAAGCTGTCTAGACAGAGGTAGAGCAATTTTTCCCTCTATCCCTTATTAGGTGTTGGTTCTCTCAGAGGAACGAAACTGAAGTGGCAAAAAGGACTCTTTCAGTTCAGTTGTGGCTATGTTTTAAATACGCGCACTTGTAACCTGAGTTATGTTTTAAAACTGATTAGTAAAAGTGACTACATGTATGAAGATGGATAATAAGCGACCGCTTTCCATACAGAGTACTTAGTTGTACTGTTTTCTTATCCCCGCTCCGACGCACTTGGGGAGCACACACACTTCTTTTCATGACACTTCAGAGTAAGTTAGCAAATGAGGCTGACAAATGCATAGTTTTTTTTCCCCTCTGAAATTATGCAACTCTGTGATAATTTAAAGAAAATCTGGTCTGTAGATGAACCAACTGACTAAACTCTGTCTAGATATGGAGATATTTTTTGCCACGCCTTGTTAGCTTCCTCTTCCCCAAGTTTTACATTTTTGGATCAAAGTGTGCATTTGTACTTGGTGCTTTTTATCTCCCTTCTTATCTTTAAAATTTTTATTCCTACTTTGTGTCTTGTTTCTGTCTCATCTGTGGTATATAGAAGTCTCACAGTGAAGCATCTCTTTTCTCAAATCTCTTCCCTTTAAACCTTCTAATGATGTCACAAGAAATAAAAAGATAATAAAAACAGCTTAATTCTTAAGTTACTATGCCAAAATTAAATTGTATCTATTCTAGAGAAATCATGGTGGTTACTGGTGAGATTTAACGTATTTCTTTGTGTTGGAAAACATTTGAAATACAAACTTCAAATTACTAAATGGTTAAATACAAGGAAAAAAGAAAATAGCAATTATTAAATAAATAAAAAAAATTTATAACAGTTTTAGCAGAGGTTTATATTAATGTCCAGCTATACAGTTTGGAGGAATGAAGAATCTTTTCTACCTACCCAACAGAATAGTAAGAAATAATCACACATTGCATGTAATCAGAATTCAGCTGTCAGCTATAATTTTCTTTATCATTTAGAGAGGAGAAACCAGGAAGCAATAGATATTGTTTCATTAAGAACTGCATATGTGAAATAACTCTTTTAGCTTCTTTAGCTTTCTTCCTTTGATCTACCATTAACTCCTTATGAGAAAGTAATTAGACAGATTTTTTTTTTAAATTTCACTGGCTCTTTGTGTTTAATATAAGATTTCTTTACAAATTATAATAAATTTTGAACTTTTTAATGTTAACTGGAGTTAGCATCTTCAAAATTATTTGTGTATTCTGAAAACAGCAAGAAAATGTGATTACTGAAAATATTTCTGTAACATACAAAGTAATGAGTTGAGATGGTAATATTAACTGCAAAGAGAATTTTGAAAAAGTGATTATTGTTTTTAGATGGAACAATCATTTAAGTAGTCCAAATTTGTTTTCTCTTATTTTACTTATTTTTACTTACATTTCATCGCTTTTCAGTCTTCACTTAAACATTTCACCATATAAAGTTCCACAGATGAAATTAATCTCATCCTTTTTACCTTGCCAACATACCTCAGTGGTACTCAATTTCTTTATATTTTGTCTCCCTATCTGGTTTTAGCTCAAAGAAAATTTGCATGGAATTCCAGATTTATGAACTTAAAAAACTAATAGTTCTGATCATCTTTTTACACAGAGATAAACTGGGTTCAATAAGGCCTACATCTCATTGAACTAGGGTTGCAATATTTAGCAAATAAAAATACAAGTGTGAATTTCAGATAATTTTTTAACATATGTATGTCTCAATCGCTTTTTAGTAAAAATATATCCCAAATATTGCATGGGATATATTATGCTAAAAAGTGATTTGCTGTTCATGTGAGATTCAAATTTAATTGGTCTTGTATTCTTATCTGGCAACTCCACCTTGAGTTGTTTTGGGCATTAAATCGGATAATTTAGCTGACATGACTGACAAATGGTGGATACCCAACAATTTTTCTTCTTGCCCTATCCTGCGAACTCTTAAAGAAACCTGTCTTATTGACCTTTAAATCACCAGTGCTTGATTAAAAGCCTGACATATAGTAATAACTTTAGTTATGCATGTAATATAGAATAAATGAACGTGTATGCGTGCACATGTACACATGTTCAGAAGCTAGTGTTGAGGATTAGTTAGTAGGAAAAGGGGTGGTTTCTATATTAGGAAAGTGTTACATTCCACCTCCCTTTTATCAAGATATTTCATCATCTTTTTACTGCTGACCACTACTGTCTAGAATTAAAGACCTAGAAATACCTTGATAGATATTCTTTTTCATACTTCTTTCCTCAGAGAACATTACAAAAAATCATTGTTAGATAATAATAATGTGTAATATCATTGAAAAACTCTAAAACTGAATGTTTACAGTTTCCCTTATCACTTTCCCACTATCAGAACCACAATAACTTAAATTACTTTTGAGCCCTGTTTTGAGAATAGCTGTCATCAGCACCAGTTAAAAGTTCTATATATGTATATGTGTAAAAAAATTATATATAAGTAAGCATAATACATTTATAATGTCTATAAATAAAACATGCATAATGCCATGCTGAAGCAGGAGTGAGCAAACAATGGCCACTGGGCCAAATATGGCCCACCATCTGGTTTTGCATGCCCCACCCATGAGCTAAGAATAGTTTTTATATTTTGGGATGTTTGGGAAAAAAAATCAAAAGAAGAATAACGTTTTGTGCTTTATGAAAAGTATATGAAATTCGAATTAAGTAACATTGGAAAACAGCCATGTTCATTCATTTACATATTGCCCATGGCTGCTTGACACTATGAAATAATCAGCTTCATGTGTCCACTGTGCTACACTATAGTACTCAGTTATTTAATCAAACACCAACCTAGGTGTTGCCGTGAAGGTGTTTTGTAGATATGGTTAACATCTGCAATGAATTTACTTTAAGTAAAGGAGATTATCCTCATTAATGTGGGTGGAACTCATTCAATAAGTCAAAGGCCTTAATAAGAAAAGCTGAGGTTTTCTGGAAAAAAAAAATTCTGCCTTCAGACTATAGCATTAACTACCTGAGTTTCTGGCCTGCTGACTTACCCTATGGATTTTAGACTTGCCAGCCCCCACAGTTGTGTGGGTCAATTCTTTATACACTACAACAGTAGAATCGAATAATTGCAGCAGAGAATGCATAGCCCACAAAGCTGAAAATATTTACTTTCTGGTCCTTTACAAAAAAGTTTCCTGACCCCTGTGCTAGATACATACTAAATTGGAGCTAAATCATTTTCCTTCCTTTGTCTATACAATTTTGTGTTCAATTAATATTTATTGATTCTATGTAATTAATATTTATTGATGCCTATTGCTAGCTACGTAACAATAGCATCAACAAGATAAACTTTCTATTCTGGTGAATCAAATAGGATGGAGTGGAGACAGATCATGAATGTGGCGACACTGTGAAGGTACCGATAAGTAAGCAGGTGTGCTGAGTGAGCACGCTAGAGAACCATCTAGTACAAACAACCCCTCCATAGGAAAGCTAAATGAAACTGTACCCTCAGGGTGAAACATGTATGTGAACTGAACATGCTACTTTGCCTTATGCACTTTAAGTAAGTACATTTTTGGATATAAGCCTGCTGTACATGTGTTTTGAGCTTCAGAAAGGAAGTTCAGATACTGTCTAACAGAAGTCACCACCACTGTTTCCATGGAAGGTGGGTAATTATATCAATTAAGCAGTTAGGATGTAGCACAGTATGGTGTGAGGGAGACTGTGAAGTGTCAGAGCATGCAATCTCCAGGCATTGACATTTACATTGGAAACATTGAGAAAGGCATGGTGCATGCCAAACAAAGCATATTTTCAGGTTTCAAGAGATGCCAATTTAAAATTTCTGAGGTAAAACCTAGCTCTTCTCACTTCATAAATGGGAATTAAAACCCAAAGATCTTATGGGATTTGACTGAAATCTTTCCATTTGTGACAGCGATGAGACTGGAATCCAGGTCTTTTGGCTCCCACTGCAATTTTCTCTCTTCCTTCTGTGGAGGGCGCCTGAGGATGTGTTAGGGTAGGATCATAAGGTAAGAAAATGGAAGTCAAAATTAGGCTGGAGAAGAATCTTACCTTCATGAAAGAGTTTATGTCCAAGTAATGCATTAATTATATGTTTAAACATTTTTGTAACTACCTATTATGTCGCTGGCTAGAACTATGCCTGGTGTCTTGACGTTTCAAGAAAGCAGGTGAAAAACAGTATCTCATTGTGGTTTCATTTTGTATTTCCCTAATTAATAATAAACACATTTTCATACATTTACTGGCCATTAATTTCTACTTCTGAGAAATATCTGTGTTTTGTGTAGTTTTCCATAGTTCCTTTTGTAATATTCTTACTGACTTACAGGAATTAAAAATATTCTGCATAGTAATCCTTTATCTTTGGTATATATATCTTCTTCCATTCTTGGCTTATCTTTCCACTTTCTTTATGGTGTTAAAGTTCTTAATGCATTTTTGTCTCATTTATCTTTTTTAAATTGTTACACATTTTTGGTGCCTTGTTTTAAGAAATCCTTCTCTACCTTCACACCATAGGGAAATTTTCTTATATACTCAGCTAAAATAGCCTTATTCTTTTTCATTTTTAAAATTTATTATTAATATTATTATTATACTTTAAGTTTTAGGGTACATGTGCACAATGTGCAGGTTAGTTACATATGTATACATGCGACATGCTGGTGCGCTGCACCCACTAACTCGTCATCCAGCATTAGGTATATCGTCCAGTGCTATCCCTTCCCCCCCCACCCCAAAACAGTCCCCAGAGTGTGATGTTCCCCTTCCTGTGTCCATGTGTTCTCATTGTTCAATTCCCACCTATGGGTGAGAATATGCGGTGTTTGGCTTTTTGTTCTTGTGATAGTTTACTGAGAATGATGATTTCCAATTTCATCCATGTCCCTACAAAGGACACGAACTCATCATTTTTTATGGCTGCATAATATTCCATGGTGTATATGTGCCACATTTTCTTAATCCAGTCTATCATTGTTGGACATTTGGGTTGGTTCCAAGTCTTTGCTATTGTGAATAGTGCCGCAGTAAACATACGTGTGCATGTGTCTTTATAGCAGCATGATTTATAGTCCTTTGGGTATATACCCAGTAATGGGATGGCTGGGTCAAATGGTATTTCTAGTTCAAGATCCCTGAGGAATCGCCACACTGACTTCCACAATGGTTGAACTAGTTTACAGTCCCACCAACAGTGTAAAAGTGTTCCTATTTCTCCACATCCTCTCCAGCACCTGTTGTTTCCTGACTTTTTAATGATTGCCATTCTAACTGGTGTGAGATGTTATCTCATTGTGGTTTTGATTTGCATTTCTCTGATGGCCAGTGATGGTAAGCATTTTTTCATGTGTTTTTTGGTTGCATAAATGTCTTCTTTTGAGAAGTGTCTGTTCATGTCCTTCGCCCACTTTTTGATGGGGTTGTTTGTTTTTTTCTTGTAAATTTGTTTGAGATCATTGTAGATTCTGGATATTAGCCCTTTGTCAGATGAGTAGGTTGCGAAAATTTTCTCCCATTTTGTGGGTTGCTTGTTCACTCTGATGGTAGTTTCTTTTGCTGTGAAGAAGCTCTTTAGTTTAATTAGATCCCATTTGTCAATTTTGGCTTTTGTTGCCATTGCTTTTGGTGTTTTAGACATGAAGTCCTTGCCTGCATCACGCTACCTGACTTCAAGCTATACTACAAGGCTACAGTAACCAAAACAGCATGGTACTGGTATCAAAACAGAGATATAGATCAATGGAATAGAACAGAGCCCTCAGAAATAACGCCGCGTATCTACAACTATCTGATCTTTGACAAACCTGAGAAAAACAAGCAATGGGGAAAGGATTCCCTATTTAATAAATGGTGCTGGGAAAACTGGCTAGCCATATGTAGAAAGCTGAAACTGGAACCCTTCCTTACACCTTATACAAAAATCAATTCAAGATGGATTAAAGACTTAAACGTTAGACCTAAAACCATAAAAACCCTAGAAGAAAACCTAGGCATTACTATTCTCTTTCATTTTTTAAGTCAGACCCACTTGGAATTGATTTTTATATACGGCATAATGGAGAGGTACAAGTTTGCTTTTTCCCATGTGGATAACTAATTGCCCTTGCATAATTTGTTAAACTGTTCATCCTTGTCCCATTGATCTTTACTGCCAACTCTTCAATAAATCATGTTTCTCTCTGTGTGTGAGTTTGTTTGTACTCTAGGCAGTTTGTTTCACTGGCATCATTTTTCAATCCATGTGTCAATGCCACATTGTTTTAATTCTTACAGATTTAAAATAATTAATTTCTGGAAACAAAAATCCTCTCACCTTGTTTTACTTATTTAAGTGTGTTTTGGTTTTTTGTAGAAATTTCTTTCTTCCATATAAATTTTAGAATCAGCTTGTCACATTTTACAAAATAAAATTGAAGTAATTTTGATTGGAATTGAATTGAAGCTATAGATAAATTGGGGCAGAATTGAAATATTTACAAGACAGTGTTCCAATTCAATAACTTGACTCTATCTCTGCATATTTAATTATGTGTCTTACATAGAATGAGTTACTATTGTTTTTTCTTTTTTTTTTGGAAACGGAGTCTCCCTCTGTCACCCAGGCTGGAGTGCAGTGGCGTGATCTCGGCTCACTACAAGCTCTGCCTCCTGGGTTCATGTCATTCTCCTGCCTCAGCCTCCCCAGTAGCTGAGACTACGGGAGCCTGCCACCATGCCCGGCTAATCTTTTTTTTTCCTGGTTGTTTATTTATTTATTTTTATTATACTTTAAGTTCTAGGGTACATGTGCACAACCTGCAGGTTTGTTACATATGTATACATGTGCCATGTTGGTGTACTGCACCCGTTAACTCATCATTTACATTAGGTATATCTCCTAATGCTATCCCTCCTCCCTACCCCCACCCAATGACAGGCCCTGGTGTGTGATGTTCCCCACCCTGTGTCCAAGTGTTCTCATTGTTCAGTTCCCACCTGTGAATGAGAACATGTGGTGTCTGGTTTTCTGTCCTTGCGTTAGTTTGCTCAGAATGGTGGTTTCCAGCTTCATCCATGTCCCTACAAAGGACATGAACTCATCCTTTTTTATGGCTGCGTAGTATTCCATGGTGTATATGTGACACATTTTCTGAATCCAGTCTATCATTGATGGACATTTGGGTTGGTTCCAAGTCTTTGGTATTGTGAATAGTGCTGCAATAAACATACGTGTGCATGTGTCTTTATAGCAGCATGATTTATAATCCTTTGGGTAGATACTCAGTAATGGGATGGCTGGGTCAAATGGTATGGTATTTTTAGTAGAGACGGGGTTTCACCACGTAAGCCAGGATAGTCTCGACCTTCTGACCTCATGATCTGCCGCCTCAGCCTCCCAAAGTGCTGGGATTACAGACATGAGCCACCACGCCAGGCCATTACTATAGTTTTTAACAAAACTTAGTACCTGGAAGAACACACCCCCACCAACCCAACACACATACCTTGTTCTTTATATTCAAGAAGTCTTGTCTATTCTGATATTAATTATTACCTTTTAATTTATCTGAGTTTGTCCTGCTATTTTCTACCTTCTCAAGTGGAATGCATAGGTAAGTAACTTTAAAATTTTATCTTTACTAATGTAAACATTCAAGGGTGTAAGTTTTCCTGTAGTTACTATTAATAATTTATTTGCATCAAATAAGTTTTTGTGTAAACATCTTATTATTGAGTTCTAAATATATTTTTTGTTGTAGTTTCTTCCTTGATCTTTCATGACTTACATATTATTGAAAGTGAATTTCTTAATTGCATCAATATATTTTATTACAATTACCTTTTGGTTTTTGCTTTTTAATATAATTGCATTTTAGTCAGAAAACATGATCTGTATGATATTAGGTTTGCTTTTTAGCCCAGATAATGTTAATTTTCAGGGATATTTCTTGTGATTAGCAACAACGTATATTCTATGGTGGTTGGGGTCAGTGTTATATATATATTCAAAATATATTGCTTATTAATTTTACTATTCTAATCTATATCCTGAGGTAATTTTTCTAATTGTTCTGTGAAATACTGAGAAAGGTAAGCTAAAATTTCATAATATAATTGTATTTACTTGATAATAGAGACCTTAAGTCTGTGCAAGAGTTTGGAAGTTGTACACTGGATTACTATTCTACTTGTGGTTTAAAATTTGCATGCCTAACTCGTGTAACAACACAATGACCTTAAAACATTGCTGCTTGCAACACTTTTTTTCCTATTATTCTATTATTTTTATATATTTTAATTCTACATTTTACTTCTTTTTAGTCCCACAGGTTTTTGTTGTCTGTATAGTCAATATTTGTTTATATTTACTTACATATTTATTTTCTTTAAGCATCACTGTTTTTTGCATATTAGATTATGCAACTGCATCCCTTTCTTCTAGCTAGAAATTTATCATTTAAGTTTTTCTTTAGTAAAGATCTACTGGTGACAAACTGTTTTTTTGAGATTATTTTTTAATTTGGTTCTCGATTTAAAAAATGCAATTCAATGGCTTTCCATTGTTTCTTTTGAAAATTATTTCTTATGTATTTGAGGTATATACTGTCACCCAGGCTGGTGTGCAGAGGCACGATCTCAGGTCACTGCCACCTCCACCTCCCAAGTTCAAGTGATTCTCCTGCCTCAGCCTCCCAAGTAGCTGGGACTACAGGCACGTGCCACCATGCCCTGCCAATTTTTGTAGTTTTAGTAGAGACGGGGTTTCACCATATTGGCCAGGCTGGTTTCAAACTCCTGACCTTGTGATCCGCCCCTCGACCTCCCAAAGTGCTGGTGTTAAAGGCATGAGCCACTATGCCCAGCTTTTTTATTACTTTTTGTTGAATTTAAGGTTATTTGTCTTTTTCATTCTATAATATTACTATAATGTTTCTTTATGTGTATGTTTGTGTGTATGTATAAATAAATTTTTATCCAGAATACCTATTTATTTTCAAATTTAATTGATCATTTAAAATAGTCTCTTGCTTCTTACTCATTTTCTCAGTGTATTAAAATTTAAACATAATAAGGCACACCTACTTTATGTGTTTGATAATTGAGGACTTCATGTCTAAAACACCAAAAGCAATGGCAACAAAAGCCAAAATTGACAAATGGGATCTCATTAAACTAAAGAGCTTCTGCACAGCAAAAGAAACTACCATCAGAGTGAACAGGCACCCTACAAAATGGGAGAAAATTTTCGCAACCTACTCATCTGACAAAGGGCTAATATCCAGAATCTACAATGAACTCAAACAAATTTACAAGAAAAAAACAAAGAACCCCATCAAAAAGTGGGCAAAGGATATGAACAGACACTTCTCAAAAGAAGACATTTATGCAGCCAAAAGACACATGAAAAAATGCTCATCATCACTGGCCATCAGAGAAATGCAAATCAAAACCACAATGAGACACCATCTCACACCAGTTAGAATGGCAATCATTAAAAAGTCAGGAAACAACAGGTGCTAGAGAGGATGTGGAGAAATAGGAACGCTTTTACACTGTTGGTGGGACTGTAAACTAGTTCAACCATTGTGGAAGTCAGTGTGGCAATTCCTCAGGGATCTTGAACTAGAAATACCATTTGACCCAGCCATCCCATTACTGGGTATACACCCAAAGGATTATAAATCATGCTGCTATAAAGACACATGCACACGTATGTTTATTGTGGCACTATTCACAATAGCAAAGACTTGGAACCAACCCAAATGTCCAACAATGATAGACTGGATTAAGAAAATGTGGCACATATACACCACGGAATACTATGCAGCCATGAAAAATGATGAGTTCATGTCCTTTATAGGGACATGGATGAAATTGGAAATCATCATTCTCAGTAAACTATCACAAGAACAAAAAACCAAACACCGCATGTTCTCACTCATAGATGGGAATTGAACAATGAGAACACATGGACACAGGAAGGGGAACATCACACTCTGGGGACTGTGGTGGGGTGGAGGGAGGGGGGAGGGATAGCATTAGGAGATATACCTAATGCTAAATGATGAGTTAATGGGTGCAGCACACCAGCATGGCACATGTATACATATGTAACTAACCTGCACATTGTGCACATGTACCCTAAAACTTAAAGTATAATAATAATTTAAAAAAATTGTAATATTTGAAGTCATTAAGAATATTATTGTATTTTTCGTGGCTCCTGTTTGTCTTTACTAGTGGCACTTTTTTTTTTGCAAGTTTTAAGTGTTTGCTGCTGTAGTTGTCATTATTCTTTATTTTTCCTTGTAAAAGTAATTTCCAAAGATAATATATCACCTAGGTCTCAGGGCGTGACCAACTTGCAGAGATTCAATAAAAGTTGTTGGCTTCAAATTATTTTTATACTATCTAGGTAGTGTTAATTTGGGCTGAAAACCTATAAAGACTAGAAGATAGATAATAATTTCTATGAAATATTTTGTTTTTCCATCTACCCTCTGCTGTTGAGAGAGGCGATTTTCTTAGCTAGTGTTTGTGTGTGTGTGTGCATTGAAATTTCCAGTTTACCCTTATACTTTTAGCCATGGGATTTCACTTTTATCTGTAGATGGGTAAATCTATTTGGTTCTCCACTGGAAATATGTCCTAAAATTTATCTCCTGTCCTTAAACATATTTCCCAACAGTTTGAGAAGCTCAAGTTCACTAGTGAAGCAAATTTTATCAGGGTGAAAGGCATTTTTGTGCTCTGTTTATCTCTTTGAATTCTTAAGTTCACTTAGCTTTTGGCTTCTGTGTATGTTGTTTCCTAGTTCATCAAAATGTCTAACTTATCATTTTGTCAGAAATAGTTTCCTCAAATTTCAAAAGTTTTATCTCTACATGGCTTGCTGCTATTTTTTTATTTTTTAGTGCCTAGAGGTTTTATAATGTTCATATTAAAATATATATATTGTACCCCTTATCATTATATGGTATCTCTTTTTAATCTATTTAGTGGTTTTTACTTTAAATTTTATCTTGTTTAGGATTGATTTTTTTTTTTGCCATATTTACCAGGTATTTCTTTACACCTTTATTTTTAACTTTTATTTCTTACACATTTCAAAAAACATCTTACGGCTGGGCTTTGACTCTTAATGGGAAAATTCAGTTTATATACATTGACTCTAATGACTTAAATGGTAAATTTTACTTATTCAATTATCCTCCATTATTTATTTTACACTATTTCTTTTTAATTTTTATTTATTTATTTATTTATTTATTTTTTTGAGACGGAGTCTCGCTCTGTTGCCCAGGCTGGAGTGCAGTGGCGTGATCTCGGCTCACTGCAAGCTCCGCTTCCCGGGTTCACGCCATTCTCCTGCCTCAGCCTCCCAAGTAGCCGGGACTACAGGCGCCCGCCACCACGGCCGGCCCGGCTAATTTTTTTTTTTTTTTTGTATTTTTAGTAGAGACGGGGTTTCATCGTGTTTGCCAGGATGGTCTAGATCTCCTGACCTCGTGATCCTCCTGCCTCGGCCTCCCAAAGGGCTGGGGTTACAGGTGTGAGCCACTGCACCCGGCCTATAATTTTTTTATTATTATACTTTAAGTTCTGGGATACATGTGCAGAATGTGCAGGTTTGTTACATAGGTATACATGTGCCATGGTGGTTTGCTACACCCATCAACCTGTCATGTAGGTCTTAAGTCCCACATTAATTCGGTATTTGTCCTAATGCTAGCCCTCCCCTGGCCCCCCACTCCCCAACAGGCCCCTGGGTTTGATGTTCCCCTCCCTGTGTACATGGGTTCTCATTGTTCAACTCCCACTTATGAGTGAGAACATGTGGTGTTTGGTTTTCTGTTCCTGTGTTAGTTTGCTGAGAATGATGGTTCCCAGCTTCATCCATTTCCCTGCAAAGGATGTGAACTAACCTTTTTTGTTGGCTTCATAGTATTCCATGGTGTATATGTGCCAGATTTTCTTTATCCAGTCTATCACTGATGGGTATTTGGATTGGTTCCAAGTCTTTGCTATTGTAAATAGTGCTGCACTAAACATACATGTGCATGTGTCTTTATAGTAGAATGATTTATAATCCTTTGAGCGTATACCCAGAAATGAGATTGCTGGGTCAAAGGGTATTTCTGGTTCTAGATCCTTGAGGAATTGGCACACTGTCTTCCACAATGGTTGAACTAATTTACACTCCCACCAACAGTGTAAAAGCGTTCCTATTTCTCTACATCCTCTCCAGCATCTGTTGTTTCCTGACTTTTTAATGATCACCATTCTAACTGGCATGAGATGGTTACTTCATTATGCTTTTGATTTGCATTTCTCTAATGAGCAGTGACTACTTTAAATTTCATATGGAACCAAAAAAGAGCCCATATAGCCAAGACAACCCTAAGCAAAAAGAAAAGCCAGAGGCATCACGCTATCTGACTTCAAACTATACTACAAGGCTACAATAACAAAAATAGCATGGTACTGGTACCAAAACAGATATATAGACCAATGTAACAGAACAGTGGCCTCAGAAATAATGCCACACATCTACAACAATTTGATTTTGACAAACCTGATAAGAACAAGCAATGGGGAGAGGATTCCCTATTTAATAAATGGTGTTGGGAAAACTGGCTAGCCATATGCAGAAAACTGAAACTGGACACCTTCCCTACACCTTATACAAAAATTAAAATGGATTAAAGACTTAAATGTAAGACCTAAACCATAAAAACCCTAGAAGGAAACCTAGGCAATACAATTCAGGACATAGGCATGGGCAAAGACTTCATGACTAAAACACCAAAAGCAATGGCGACAAAAGCCAAAATTGACAAATGGGATCTAATTAAACTAGAGAGCTTCTGCACAGCAAAAGAAACCACCATCAGAGTGAACAGGCAACCTACAGAATGGGAGAAAATTTTTGCAATCTATCCATCTGACAAAGGGCTAATATCCAGAATCTACAAAGAACTTAAACAAATTTACAAGAAAAAAAAATCAAAAAATGAGCAAAGGATATATGAATAGACACTTCTCAAAAGAAGACATTTATGTGGCCAACAAACATATGAAAAAAATGCTCTTAGGTATTTACTGATAGGACTTTAAAACTGTGTCCACACAAAATTGCACCTGAATGTTTATTGCAGGTTTTTCATAATTGCCCAAAACTCAAAGCAACCGAAGTGTCCCTTAGTAGGTGAATGGGTAAACAAACTGTGATGTACTAAGACAAGGAAAAACTATTTAGGGAAAAAATAAATGATCTACCCAGCCACAAAAAGACATGGAAGAAATGTAAATATATATTGTTAATTGAGAGAAGCCAGTCTGAAAAGGCTATAAACTATATAATCCCAACTATATGAGAGACTGGAAAAGGAAAAACTATAGAGGCAGTAAAAGAGACCAGTGGTTTTCAGGGGCTTACAGGGAAATGGGAAGATTTGAATAGGTAAAGCACAGGTGATATAACAGTGGTAAAATTATTCTGCATTATATTCTAATGGTGGACACGTGACATGATACATTTGCCAAAAGCTACAGAACTTTACAACATAGAGTGAACTCTAATATAAAGTATCTACTTTAGTTAACAATAGTATATTCATATTTATTCATCAGTTATAATAAATGTGTCACACTAATGCAAGTTGTTAATAAGAAATTGTGTATGGAAGTTAGGGTATATATAACTCTGTAGTATGTGCTCAATAACAGTTAAAAAATTTTTATAAAGTAAAAAATTCAAGTATTGCATACTAGCCTATGGTAAGTAAAGAAAACACCAAAAGAAAGGGTGCCAGTGTGTCATTCTGTCCTATCTCTTCCTCAGATCTGTTGGAAATGAGTGTCAGACTCAGAGTTCATTATGGCTCAGAATTCCTGGAGGTATTTTGATGTGGAACAGGAGAGAAGCAGAAAAATAAGTGGATCCTGATAAAGGCAATGGCTGTGAAGGTTAAGCTTCAGGGCTCTCAATTTGCAAGAAACTTTTTTATGGCTGCGAGCTTACATTAGTATTGATAATTTGTATTATTTTTTAAGAGGTCCACTCCCTCAAAATTATATAAACATTAGTCCACACAAAACCTGGAAAGACCATATAAAAGAAAGTCTCCAAAGGCTTTGGGATAGTGAGTACTTAGTCTATACTTCATTCATATAGGTCTTTTTACTTTGTCCACTAATTGTATTTTTATAATAAATGTCTTATTGGACTGAAACTGTCCAAACTGATCCATCTTCTTAGAAATTCACCAAACTCTGGAATTTTCTGGGGTCTGAAACATAAAAGCCAATGTGATTCAGCTTTTAATCATATTATATGCTTCTTAAATAATAATTTAAAGTATTTTAGTATAGGTTTTGCCAGATGAAGGAGAGTTGACATATTAATAGATAACTTCACAGAATTATCCATTCAAGTAAGGATAGGAAGTTATCTGAAATGAAGGATAGGCTGTTGTTTTACATCATTTTTTTTGTTTCCTTGCTTCCTTTTAATCCCAGTATAATTAGAAACACTTCCTATTGTATTATAGAGACAGAAGGTCTATAAATACTAGTTAGATATTTTTATGAGCTTTTCTACTTCAAATGAATCATATGTGGGGCAAAATAGTGAGCTATTATTCAATATGTTGGGGCTAATGGAGCTTTAAATAAAATGGAGCCTTAGAAATGAAATGTTTCTAAACTCAAATGAATGTTTTATCTTTACCAAGGAAAATATTTCCCCACACAGGATTAGAATTATCAGTTTGCACTTTTGCTGTCTGAGAGTGCCATATAACAATGTCTTAACCATTAAAATTAATGACCTGGAATATAAGAGGCCTAAATAGCCCTATTACGTTGAAAAAAATTCTATCAATTCTCAAAAAGAGTGAAATAGATGTTACACCTATCTAAAAGATATGCTTCATGGAACAAAAAATTGTGAAACTACAGAGAATCCAAAAGGTTTTTAAAGTATTTTTAATTGAAAAACTTCTGCATCTCAGAAGATGGCTTCACAGCAACTTTAAAGTAACAGAATGTATTTAATTTAAGGATATACTTTTGCTGGTGAATATTAATCATGTTCACCTAGATAAATGGTTATCAACTAGGAGTGATTTTGTTCCCCAGGGAGCATTTGACAATGTCTGGAAATATTTTTGGTCACCACAACTAGGAAGTGGTATGACTGTCATCTAAGTGAGTGCAGGTTAGTGAACATGCTACAATGCACAGGACAGACCCTACAAAACATGTCAACAGTGCCAAGCTTGAAAAGCTCTGAGTGAGACAAACTGCTGCAAATAAATATCAAGTTTGTACTATCAAGTTTTGGGGTACCCCAAGAAGTAGCAATGGTTATGGATTCCCTACTCATTTCTTCTGCTATAACCTTAGGAGTCTTCGCAGACTGCTGTCAATGTGAGGGCTGGGTCTGCTCCATGTGCTTTCCTTTGTTGGTTTCTTTCATACCATGAACTGCTCAGATCAATCCCTGGAGAGGGAGACCAAACTCAAGTTGGCCTTCAAAATTCCATTCCCAGTTATTTTCTGAGAAGCATCTCTAAAATCATGCTGTAGGAAGATGAAGAAAGATATGTTCTCTCTCCTTAGACTCTACCCATCACCACTCAACCAAAGACTTTCATGTTGTATGAAATTTCTTGTTTATTTTTTAGAAAAAAACGAAGCAAGAAACAATTATTTTTTACTTAATAATAAATAAAACTTATTTCAGAAAATAAGTTATGTGCTAGCTGGCAATATTCTTCATTCAAGTGTGAAATTGGATTAGGTCTACATGAAGAAGCATAGATAATCGAAAACAGTATCGACAGAGTTTGTAATGGGTTGAATTTGTGGCCCATCAAAATGTATATATCTACCTGGAACCAGAAAATGTAATCTTGTTTGGCAAAAGGACCTTGCAGATGTAATTAACATAGAACCTTGAGACGAGATCATCCTCCATGAGAGTAGGCCCTAAGTCCAATAAGTATCCTTTGAAGAGGAAAGAGAAGGGGAAAGGATATATGAGGAAGGGTGATGTGAAGATGAAGGCAGAGATTAGAGTTATTTAGCCCAAAGTCAAGGAATGCTTTGGAGACACCAATAGCTGGAAAAGGCAAGGAAGGATTCTCCTCTACATTCCTTTGGAGAAAGTGTGGCCATGCCAACACTTCAAGTTCAGACTTCTAGTCTCCACATTGTGAGAAAACAAATTTGTTGCTTTTAAGTAACTCAGTTATGGTAATTTGTTACAGTAGCCCTCAGATACTAATACAGAGTCAAAGACCTGAGAGATATAAGGTGGCACGACAAGAGTTTCCTCTATGTCCAGGAAGCCCTGAAGGGAGAGGAGTAATATGTCTGATAATTCCAGGTCATTTGAGAGATTGACTATAAAGGCAGAAATGAGTGTCAAAATGTGCCAGATGTCTGCTGTGAAGGGTAGCAATCCATGACTGGAAGCCAGTTCGTGAACAGAGTAGCCAATGGACTCAGTGTCTGAAAGGGCCTGATTTCAACATTAAATGAAGCTAAAGAGTTCCCAAGTGGTGGGCAAGCCTTGGCAGTAGTGATGCCCTCTGTTTGGTGGTGGGCATTACTGTAAATCTGAGAATCAGTGCCTTGGATGCAGGAACCTAGTCACGAGCCAGAGTGAGGACATATAGAAGAGTGTAAGGGCATCTGAGTGAGCCAGACTGCAGGTCAAGGGAAGCTTTTGTTCTTGGAGAATTATTTGGGTCCCCTAAAGTACAGCATCCACTAGACTAATTGGAAGGCAATGTAGCTCATGCATGCATGGCTTCTATGGGATTATGCCAAAACTTCTGCCTCTGACCACGTTTTTCTGTATGTTTTAAGATTGAATGTGTTACAATGACAGCTAATAGGAGATGGAAAAAGAAAAGGAGGGACATTAAAAATAAAAAGATTGTATGTTAAAAATACAGAGTAAGAGGATAAAACAATTACAGAACTATACCAATAACAATAGTAAATATATTTGACTTGTTTCAGGTCTAGAGCAATACCTGACTCATAGTAGGCACTCCATAAATTATTACTGAGTTGATGAGTAAATTTATGTACGAATGAACAAGTACTTTGAGGGAGAACAGAAAAAATAAAAATTGTATTCAGTTATTTAATCAACAAATTCTATATTGAAGCCATAGTGCCAATAATTACAACTATCATTTCTTTCTTAAAATACATTAGTATCCAATATAAATTTTATGCCTTCCAAGGTTCTTATCTTTCTACCTTAAGAATTAAATCACATTTGACTATATATGAAAATAAACTATTTGAGGCTAAAATACCTGGCATTAAATATTTAGGTACATTAAATAAACTACAGCATGTAATTAAAAGGGGTTAATATGGAGAATAATTTATTTCTGTCTTCTGGAAACATATGTATTGATGTGTCAGTTATTCTTTCTAAGACTTTCATGTTGACATTGCAGGTCATTGCTTCAAAGCAATGTTCTTCAAATATCTGATTTTATTTTAAAAGCAAAAGCACTCACAATCACTTCGAAAGAAGATCTGGCAGTTTCTCATAAAGTTAAACGTAAACCTACCCTATGCAATTTCACTGTTGGGAATTCACCCAAGAAAAATGAAAATACATGTTCCCCAAAAGACTTTTCCAGAAATGTCATAGCATCTTTTTTTAATTGTAGCAAAATACAGGATACTGGAAGTAGTCAAGGTGTCCATCATTAGGAATGGGAAATATACAATGAAATATTACTCAGAAATACAAAGTAATGAACTACTGGTACACTAAAAAAATGGATGAATCTCAAAAACACGCTGCAAGACTTGCATAGTAGTACATACACACTATATAGTAGTTTCATTTATATGAAGTTCAAGAACAAGTTAAACTAACATAGAAAATAATAGCAAACAGTGGATGCTTCTGGAATTTCTGGGGAAGGGATTCATTATGAACAAGCACAAGAAAAGTTTCTGGAATCATGTTTTAATATCTAATAGGGATTTGTATTAAGTTCATGCATTTGTTGAAATTCATCTAATGGTACATCAAAGAATTGAATATTTCATTCTTGTGAATTTTACCTCAAAGAAACAATTTGCAAGCAAATATTGAGCTCCATAATATGCACACTACAGTGTTTAGGAGTGTAGTGGACTGAAACTTGCAGCTTTGAAATGTATCAAAAAATGCACTGATGGATTGATAGAGGGATGGGTAGATATGTAATGAAATATTTCTGGTAAATTGTTAACAATAGAATTTAAGTGGTGGTAATACAGTTATAAGGATTCTTTCAGCTCTTCTGTAGTTTGAAATTGTCATAAAGTGTAGAGAAAAAATTGAAAGCCCTTTTCATAGCTCATGCTTCCAATTTCTAATTAAGATTCACAGAGGGATTGCTTAAAATCATTTAAAAATATTGTATTTCCATAGAAACCAAAAAAATTTGCATAATTCTATTTCTTTACAAACTTTTATTCAATTTAGTTTGTCTACTTATTAAGATCAGTCGTATTTGTACTATTCCTTTGTGTTTTCCAGTTTTTAAATTATAATTGGGTGATGCACTTTGATCTTTATAATCATGGTTAATTTTATACATGCACACAACATTACAATTTCTTGGTATAGTTGATTCATTAGCCTGACGATAATGACCTGATGGATTTCAATTTGAGCACTTTCTTGAGGCCACTGAAGGCAGTTTATGTAGAAGCAGAATGAAATGGTAAATTTGCAGCTAGTTGAAGTTTTATGCTTTAAAATTTCACTAACCAGAACACATAATCTAGATTTGCAAATTAATTCTTCTTTTTTATAATGAAAGTAATTATGTGCAGACATACAGTTTTGTTCAGGATATTTTCTGAAGTAATTTAGCGTTGACCCAATCTCTAAATAAACCAGGTGCCAGGATATCCTGCTATTTCTTAGGATGATTTACAGGCACCCCTTGATGGTGAAACGCTGAAGATCACCATGTCAAAATGCCATGTTGTCATCAACACTTTGTGGTATTTGTGAAAGGCTTTCAAAGGGAATAGGCATTCATACACACACACACACACACACACACACACACATATATATATATAGAGAGAGAGAGAGAGAGAAAGAAATTCACTGTTAGTCAATACAGACCTGCAAGTGGCCTTACCAGTTGCTTACTCAAAGTATACTCTATTTTTTAGAGAAAGTATCTCATTAGTAGGCATTTTACTTGTTATTTGTTCAGAAATTTTAGTGAATGCATCAGGTTTTTAATTTGAAGGAGTAATTGGTATATGCATCTTCCCCTGCCCAAAATAATCTACCTGGTAAGACTCACTTTTAAAAAGGAACACACATGAAAAATAATTTGATTAAGAATTTATCTTCTTGAAAGAAACTAAAAATTATAAAAATAAGTTTATTCTATTTTATATTTAATGTGTAGATTTTATAAATTAGAACACTATACTAGTTATTGGTATAATTCTTCTTAAAATTAGTCTAATAGCACAATATAGCAGTATTTATACCACATTTGACTCTTCACGTTTTGTTCCAGAGACATTTTTGTGAAAAAATATTAGAGGACTTCACTGGTTTTCCCAAGGGCCTCTCTTATTATTTTGTTATTCAAATAACTTTTTGAAACATCTTTTCTGTCATACAACTTATTTTTGATTCTCTAATTTCAACTCATTGTTATGTGGTTTAAAGTTGCTAGATCAGTGGCTTTTAAAGTAATGATTGGCTTTATGAAATTCTGTGACTTTTGTCATATTTGCAACCTGAGAATTGATTTTCTTGTCATGAATTTTATGATATGTGAAAATCATAAAGATTACAACATCGAAAGATGGGACCTGGATTGATCATGATAGCCATATGCTAAGCAAGGAAGAATGAGAGGGCTGTTGTGTTACTGATGCATGTTTCACACCGTGACAGGCTTAACCGTCTTACACTATATTGATTGTGGCAACTCAGATTATAGAGCATTTGAACAATGAAGACTTAGAAGAAAGATTTTTTGATATGTATTTGCTATAGTTTGAATGTTTCCTCCAAAAAACATGTTAATTTTTTTTAAGTTCAGGGGTATATGTATAGGTTTGTTACATACATATATTTGCGTCATGGGAGTTTGTTGTACAGATTATTTCATCACCCAGGTATTAAGCCTAATACCCATTAGTTATTTTTCCTGATCCTCTCCTTCCTCCCACCTTCCACCCCGTAATAGGCCCCAGTGCGTGTTGTTCTCCTCTATGTGTCCATGTGTCCTCATCATTTAGCTCCCAATTATAAGTGATGACATGCAGTATTTGATTTTCTGTGTGTGTGTTAGTGATCATGTTGAAATTTAATTGCCAATGTATGGTACTGGACGATGGGGCCTTTAAGAGGGTGTTAGCCCTCATGAGTAGATTAATGCTATTATCCTGGGAGTGGGTTAATTATTATGGGAGTGAGCTTCTGATAATTAACCCACTCCCAAGTTCGGTCCCCATTTTGTCTCTATCTTGTGTGCTGCTCTTCCACCATGGGATAACGTAACACAAAGGCCCTCAACAGACATGGTCCCTCAATCTTGGCCTTCCAAGGCTCCAGAACGAGGAGCCCAATAAATCTCTTTTCTTTATAAATTACCCAGTCTGCAGTATTCTGTTATAGCAGCAGAAAACAGACTAAGAGAGTAGTACTATTAAATATAAAGAACTTCACTGATGATAGCTTGTTATAATAGGGAAAGTTTACATACTAGCTAATGCATTACCTCAGTCTTAATTATCTGAAGGATACTGCATGAAGTTTGGGGGAGTGAAAAAGATGTGAGAAGGTAAGGGAAGAAAATGGGCTCTTTTTACAAAATAGGGAGAATTCATCAAGGTTTTCTTCATATGTGAGGTTTATGCCAACTTTATTTTTTTGAGGGAGTCTGTGTCACCCAGGCCGGAGTGCAGTGGTGCGACCTCGGATCACTGCAACCTCCGCCTCCCAAGTTCAAGCAATTTTCCTACCTCAGCCTCCCAAGTACCTGGGATTACAGGCATGTGCCACCACACCCGGCTAATTTTTGTATTTTTTAGTAGAGACAGGGTTTCACCATATTGGCCAGGCTGGTCTCGAACTCCTGACCTCATGTGATCTGCTTGCCTTGACCTCCCAAATTGCTGGGATCACAGGCTTGAGCCACCGTGCCCAGTCAGGTTTATGCCAACTTTCAGATATTGTTTATATAGCTGATGCAAGCATGTACAGATCTCAAAATTTTTCTGTCATTCTTCTGATCTAAATATATGTGAATAGTGGAGTGCTATGGGGTAAAGACCCATTATTAAAATAATTTATTCTCACCTAGCTTATCTTGTGATGTGAAGGATGGCGATTTCACTGCAGCATTATCGTTCATGTGTTCCACAAAATCATCTCTGTGAGAATTCTGTGTCATTCCTGTGTGTGGGGATTATATAACCGGTATTTATAGTAGGAAGCTTTTCTGTCTGATTTCCTCCAATATTGGTTGTAATATTATGCAGCCTTTTAAAGCCATTTATGTATTTTTGGATTATCCTAAAGCCATTTGTAGAATATTAAATATGTATTTTATTACATTGTTACACAGCTAAAAGAGCACATTATACTTTAGAGGCAGTAAATATTAGTACATGAAATCAAACTGTCTTTAGTATCTCTTCTCTTATTAAAATATCAGACTTTTCTGGCTATTCTCTGGGAGGGTTAGCCACAGAAAAGAAACAAAATAACGGTATATTACAGTAAATTTACATGGCTATTCAAATAAAGGTTTAGAACCTAGATTACCTGAGGTAAATTTTAAGGCCAAAATTACAAAAATGTATAAAATGTAAATATTTTAGAAATCCAAAATGAATGATTATGGTGTGTGATAGTATTTTGGGTTACAAGTATATTTATGCTTAGTTTCTCTTAATGAGCTATTTTAATAAAGTTTTGAATGTAAGTATATTATTAATTTAAGATATTATATTTGTGACCATAATTATGAGGAAAAAAGCAAGGACAGTAGAAGTAACTGCAAATATTAAATCAAAACTGGAGAAAGATTCTGTTTCTATGTGCATATTCCACTGTAATTGCTCATGTTAAACCTTCAATAAATGTTTTTGAATAAATAAAAGCATGACTAAATTGATTAATAGATACTAATGTTCTCTTGCAATGAAATGACTAGGCCTCTTCAGAGTTTAATTTTTTTCTACTATGTTATTTCTTCTTCATTTTACTATATATATTTTGCATTGACATTTCAGCATTAAGGGAATATTTTTACTATCTAAAAATAATGAGCTAGTAAGCCAAGCAAATACCAAGGAAATGAAATTGTGCTTAACAACTGCCATATCAATTTTCACTTTAAAAGCCACTCCATAAGGTGATATTTCTTAAATTTTTAAAATTATAAATCCAAGTGATAGATACAGTAGCTTGAGTAAATCTATCACTCTATAATACATATTTTTCCTAGTAATAATTATGCTATATGAATAGCACAAGGTTAATATTTCAAAGAGAGCATAATTCATATGATATCATACTGGTCATTTCTTGAGACTTTCTCTCTTTTCAGTCTTATTAATTCCTCCTCTCATGGATCCTGAAAACTGATTAAGCTGAAATATTTTGTCATAGTTGCATCTAAACATGGACTCAGTTTCTCATATCATAACTGAATATACAATTCTGAGTTCTTTAGATACTGTATATTCATATATCTGCATAATGGCCATGCAATCTTAAATACCATTTATGCTTTCCCTCCATTTGATTATCTTCCAGCAGGCTTTCTGTTCTATTCTTGATTATATTCTTTCTGCAGTAACTTTTCAGGATCTCACTTCTACAAGGCTGTTTTTTAAATCAAATATTTGTCCTTATTAGTCCCCTCCCTCTGCTTTTAGAACAGCTCTTGTTCTTAAATTTGAAAATCTTTACTAGTTTCTCTTTCTGCCTTTAGCTGCTGCCCTTGTTCTTTCTTTTCTGCTTAACCACTCTCTCAGCTTATTTTCAAATCACCTCCTGACAGTCTGGTTGTGGCTCTGTTTTTTAATGGAAAGTCCAGTATCATTTCTATACTTTTATTTTTCTGGATCTTTGTATTTTACACAATGACGTGTCATGAGCCCTGAACCTCTCTCTCTTTGACTTCCTTTATGGTATTTCTACTCTAGTTTATTGCCTGCCTGTTTAATAACTCCTTAATCTTCTGTCTCTTTATTTGTCCTTTTCCGCATGTAACGCTAAATTTTGGTGTTCCCTATGTGTAGGTTACAACTTACTTTCTACATATCATAAACTTTAAGAATTTGATTAATGCTGCTCTGATTTATTTTCTTTCTTCCTTTCTGAATAAGCTAATTTATTTTTAAAAGACAGCTTCATATCACTATGGAAAATCGATCATTAGCATTTTCCAAAAATGGATGGTAGCTATATTAGTTTGCTAGGGGCTGCCATAGCGAGTTATGTTACATAGACTGAGTAGCTTAAAAAATATTTATTTTCTCACAGTTTTGGAGGCTAGAAGTCCAAGATCAAGGTGTTGGCAGCCCTGGTTCTTTCTGAAGGCTCTCTCCTTGGCTTCCAGACAGCTGCCTTCTCTCTGTGTCCTCTCATGGTTTTCTCTGTGAGCCTGTATCCGTGGTGTCTCCTTTTGTGTCCAAATTCTCCTTTTTATAAGGACTATAGTCAGATTGAATTAAGGCCCATACTAATAGCATCATTTTGACTTCATCACCTCTTTAATGCCCTATCTCCAAATATAGTCACATTCTGAAGTACTGGGATTGAGTATTTCTACACATAGATTGTGAGAGGAAACGACTCAAACCACAACAGAAACTTTAAAAATAATGGCAATGATTAAATTCAAGATTGATATTTCATATTCTCAATGGCGTCAATTTGACTAGATTAAGAAATACCTAGAGAGCTGGTAAAGTGTTATTTCTGGGTGTGTCTGTGAGGGTGTTACAGAGGAGATTGGTGTGTGAATCAGTAGACTGGGTGGGGAAAATGTACCGTCAGTGTGGCTAGGCAACATCCAACTGGCTGAGGGCCTGCGTATAACAAAAAAGCAGAAGAAGGGTGAATTCTCTCTCCCTACTGGAGCTGATACACCCTTCTTTGCCTGCCCTTGGACATCAGAACTTCAAGGCTCTCTAGCCTTTGGACTCTGAGCCTTGCACCAATGGCCTTCCAGGTTTTCAGGCCTTCAACCAATGACTGAGAGTTACACCATCAACTTCCCTGGTTCTGAGGCTTTTGGACTTGGATTTGAACTGAGTGTCTTGGGGTCGTGAATGGCCTGTTATGAAACTTCTCAGCCTCCATAAGTGCATGAACCCATGCCTCTAATTAATCTCCTCTAATCTATCTATCCGTCTATCTTCCATTGGTCATGTCTTTCTGGAGAACCCTGCCTAATGACATTACTCCAAGATTCTAAATCTGAGATCTGCATTTATTTTTAATTGGCAAATGTAGACAATTTAGAGATACAACAACAAATGGAGACTTTAGGTAATCTGAAGGATCAAAAGACAGTTGATAGAAAAATAACTTTTTATTGGGTATTAAAATGTCAATAATATTGGTTCAAGCAGTGCTTAAAATCATTTCTCATACCATCAATGGGTAAAATTAAATTTGCTCTCAGATTTTGACGTGTCAGTCACTCAATCTCATGGAGTCTGTTTTCACCCTTATGTGAATGATATCTACCCTCTCTTTTCCTTGGCTGAAATTTTGCTAAATTAATCTAATTCATATATATATATATTTTTTTTCATATATTAATCTAATTTAATTCATTTATATGCATATATATGAATTAAATTTAGCAAAATTTAATTTTGCTAAAATTTAGCAAAATTTAATTCATACATAATTATATATGAATTAATAGATTAATATTTAAATTATATATGTTTATATATATAAAATGTATCCATAGATGTTTACAGCCTTTTGTAATTTATAATATTTATAATATAAAACAGACATGATACTGTTTAACCTTCTCAAAAAGAATATAGTTTGGCCAGGTACGGTGGCTCACACCTGTAATCCCAGCACTTTCAGAGGCGGAGGCAGGCAGGTCACTTGCGATCAGGAGTTTGAGACCAGCTTGGCCAACATGGTAAAAACCCATCTCTACTAAAAATATAAAAATTAGCCGGGCGTGGTGGCATGTGCCTGTAATCCCAGCTACTCAGGAGGCTGAGGCAGGAGAACCGCTTGAACCCAGGAGGCAGAGGTTGCAGTGAGCCAAGGTCGCACCACTGCACTCTAGCCTGGGTAACAGATTGGGACTCTGTCTCAAATAATAATAATAATTAATAATTTAAAAAATATAGCTTAAGAGAAGTAAAATATTGAGTTAAATTGTCACTGTGTAATTTCTAATAATCTCATCTAGAGAGAAAATCTGGAAGTATATAATTACAAAAGTAGGACTACTCAAATAATTTACCGATTAGGTCAGATTTTTAAAAAGTCATGAATAAAAGATAGATGACAAGCTATATAATTAACATAAATACAAATAAATTAATACAAAGAAAACAATAAGTCCCAAAAGGCAAAACACCAAGATAAATGACAAAATGCTAATTTTATAATGGGAAGAATTTAAATCTGATTATATATAAAATACATATATTAAAAATACACTTGTATTTTGGTACATATATATACACTCATACATATATGATTTGGCTTCCACACCAAATCTAGCTCACAACCTGCTCGTGTACAATTTGTGAGATGGAGTACTTTTTTTTTTTTTAACACCTTTATTATTTAAAAGTCAAAAACAGATGCTGGCGAGGTTGTAGAGAAAAAGGAACACTTATACACTGTTGGTGGGAGTGTAAATTAGTTCAAGCATTGTGGAAGACAGTGTGACTATTTTTCAAAGACCTAAAGACAGAAATACCATTCAACCCAGCAATCCATTACTGGGTATATACCCAAAAGAATATAAATGATTCTATTATAAAGACTCATGCATGCGTATGTTCATTGCAACACTATTCACAATAGCAAAGACATAGAATCAACCTAAATGCCCATGAGTGATGGACTGGATAAAGAAAATTTGGTACCTAGACATCATGAAATACTATGTAGCCATAAAAAAGAATGAGATCATGTCCTTTGCAGGAACATGGGTGGAGCTGGAGGTCATTATCTCTAGCAAACTAACACAGGAACAGAAAACCAAATATTCCATGTTTTCCCTTATAAGTGGGGATACATAGAGGGGAAAAACACACACTGGGGCCTATTGGAGGGTGCAGAGTGGGAAGAGGGAGAGGATCAGGAAAACTAACTAATGGGTATTAGCCTTAATACCTGTACAACAAACCCTCATGACGCAAGTTTACCTATGTAACAAACCTGCACATGTACCCCTGAACTTAAAAGTTAAAAAAAATTTCAACATAAGTTTTGAAGGGGACATTAAAACCATAGCAAATACATATAAAAAAACCTTTCTAAATCTTCATTGTTCAAGTGCTCTATAATCTGAGTCATGAGCTCAACTGAAAAAGTCTCTGCTTTAGTGATAGATGAAAATGTATTTACTAGCAAAGCCTCTGAGAAGCCCCTGAAAATGCATAGTATTTCAAAACACAATGAATAGTTTGAGTTGGAACCGATCAGAATAGAAAATGCATCAGCATGATATGTATAAGACTGTATAAGTGTTATATTTGTCAATTAATGTAAAAATTATTACATTTATTAAATGTGATGAAAACCTCTATATATACAAAATGAATAAACTTGCATGAGGGTCACAATTCCGTTAAAGTTTCTGGCTTTGAATTAAATGTAGATAACAGTCTAATCCAGAGACTTATGAAGCATTAATGTGACATGTTAATGCCTTAAAATATATTAACAGTGAAACATTAGAGGGCATTTTAGAAGACAGCATTTCAAATGATCTAAATGTAAATTAACCTGATATATGTGGATTACACCTTTTTTATAATGCGAATGGGTTTAAAATGAAGGAAACATTGCTTTACAATAGTGAACAATTCTATACACATAACGGTTTGGGCTTTCAAACATATGTTCAAACATCTGAACAATGGTATGGTTGATTTCACAAACTCTAATTGTGTCCAGAGTCATACATTCATCATTTTGAGCAATTCTCAATGTTGGCTATTTTCAAGTGATTACACAGAAATCTTTTTGGATAGTCATACATAATGCCTTTTTATCACCTCTACAAAAAGTGAATTATAAATCAACTTAACGTGAAAATGTGTACAGATCTTAAGTTTTAACCTAGAAAGGGAACTGAAATGCAATATAAACTCCTTGTGTAAGAAGAAAAATTCACCTTGGCTTTTGCCTTCTTTTTCCTTTTGTTTTATTCTTCTCGTTGTACAAAATGTTAACTGTGTACAGGTTCTTTCCAGAACTCAGCTTTGGCACTGCACATGCTAATTTGAATATGAGAACTAATCTTAAGTGGCTCTTTTGCATTTTCTGCCAATATATGACAGATGTGCTGCACTTTGGAATCCACAACAGATATGACTTTTAGATTCTTCCTTAAACCAGGTGCTAAAAATGTGTGAAAAAGCAAAAGACATTGTTACTGAAAAGTTTAAGCCATAGAACATTTCATTAATGGTTTTGTGGATTAATTAAAGTGCATCTTGTTATAGTCATTTTCCATCTTTCTTTTATAGCAGTAGGAAGAAATATATGCAATTATTCATGACAATGCACATTCCACAGGATATACTTCCACATATCCCAGAGTATGTACACACTAAATACATATTAATGTCTACACAGATTAAAGATGTATTTAAGTAAATAAAATACCATAGGAAGTCATAATCATAGAAATATAAAAAGGTGTGACTAAATATTATATATAATAAAGGCCCTCTAAACCTAATTGTCAATGAGTATATGTGGCTAGAACATATTTATGGAATTCACATTTATGTTATGGAATTTATTATTTGATTAATGGAAGGGAATTACAACAAGGTTAACTAGTAAGTCCTTGTAATGTGCCATTTGATATGCATATAATATGTGTGTAATGTTCCATTTGATATGTATGTAATATATATGTAAAATTATGCAAATCTGATTGAGATAATAAGTAAAATTTGTCAAAGGAGTCCTAGAAAATTTACAAAATAGGTTTTAAATTTCCACTCTAGTTAAAATGATTGCAAGTCATTTCATTGTCTTTATTCTGATTTCTATTATCTAAAGATCTAGAGGATAATGTTCAGTGGTTTATGATACTAAAATTGAGATCAAAATTTGGTTGAGTTGCTTGAATTTCTTGAGAGTAATAAGTATTTATGAATATATGAAATATGAAAATGAAGGATTGTTTTCAATTTATTCAGGACAAGAAATTCTAGCAAAGTTTCAGTGATATACCAAAAATATTTTATCTAGCTGTTGAGTTGTCATGTTTTAAATGCTATGATAACCATGAGGAAGCTTCCTGGGGAATTTTTAAAGTTTTTTTTCAAGTGTATTTGTAAATATCGTAGTCCAAATATTTTATACTTGATTTACAAAAGAAGCGAAGGGTAAATGTAAGTGTTATAAAGGGCTCTTCAGTGAATTAAAGTTAGGAGAGTTGCCTGAATATTCAGGGCACAGATTGAAATGAATATAAAATTTTAAAATATGTTCAAATTCAGAACTAGTTTGAGTGGAGGAAAAGTCAGAGATAGTGCCTCTAATTTGCTATAAATGGAAGTAATTTCTATATTTTTTCATTTTTTCCCTAAATACCAAGGTATTTGCCAAATATACCCAAATAGCTAAATGATTACTTACCTATTTACAAAAAAATCCAGTTATTTTAAAATGTAATAAAAATGTTTAATTTTTTTTCTATATCCCAGATGCTATGCTACATGCCAGGGAAAGAAAAAATATAAAAGCAATGTGGTCACTTTCTTTAATATTTTGCCATCTAGGAGAGAGACTAAGTTAATATACTGTGAAAAGTGAAGATGTTAAATACAATAGAGAAAGGCATAGGATACTATAGAAGTGTAGATGATAAAAAATGACTTCCAAGCAAAACTGATAATTGATTTGAGCCTCTAAAGAAGAAAAATAGGTAACCAGGTTAAGAAATACTGTTCCACATGAAAAGAACATTGGCGGGCATGGGACATGACACAAGAAGACATGAAATGTTGGAGAATTAAAATGCACTTAGTATAATTAGATTCTAGGTTTGGATGGCAGGAGGTTGAAGGAAAACAAAGCTGGACAAGTTAGCAGGCATTGGATTGTGAAGGACACATGTCAGATAAATAAATGTATTTTGAAAAAGAATTAAGCACAGATCCATTGGAAAAGAAGTCAGTAATGGATCTAGATCAGTGAAACAGCTAGGAGTCCAAGAGAAGACCCCAGGTAATCATGTGCAAGAACAAATCATATTTTCAAACTCTAAGAGACAAACAAAGTCTCTAAATTAGAAATAAAAAATTAAGAAGTGATAATATGGACTTTAAGGTATTCTCTACAATTCCAAACAGCATCTTTTATCCCCAAATCCTTTGTTTCTCAGAAGTTGTTTTGATTGTGAGTGATGTCAGAGAATGTGCCTAAGAGAAGCCCATGGTAGAATTCCCATTCTGATAAACACAAGGATACTCTACTGTTGAATTCAAGTGGTCATAGGGGGATATATTGGTGTGGTGGATGCTGTGAAGCTCTGCCTTCACAATCCTGCTACCTCCCATTCCCCACATATTGCTGATCTTGAGAGTGCTTCCTTTATACAATTCCTGCATAACAATCCCCGTCTTGGATTCTGCTTCTCAGAGAACACATTCTGCAAACAATGGGTAGCAAAGTAAGAGAAGAGGCTGACTGACAAGCTTTTCTGCCAAGGTAAAGGGACATCCTTGCTGGTGAAGCATGCTTTCAGAGGCTGCTCCTTAGTCCGAAGAAGTCCAGAGCAATGGCTGAACAGAACCCAAGAGATTTCATGTTAGACCTGAGCATCAATAAATTTTGAGCTAAAAGGGGCTCTCAAAGACAGAGAAACTGAAGGTCAAAAAAGTCAAGATTCCCCCAAAGTTACATAACTAATTGAGAATTGGGCTGAGACTAAATTCCCTATCTTCCCACTCCCAGTCTTTTTCAATAAACCTGTGCTTTTCAAATAGATGTGCCTGCAGGATAACAGATTTGCTTGTAGTCATAGAAGAAACATAAAATGAATGGAGAATGATTTTACTTACTGTTTATATCAAAATATATGTGTTGTAGAATGTAAACACCATGTGACTTTTATGATTAAAAAGTAAGAGACTAAAGATCTTCAGAATTCAGCTATGTCTTCGGAACTGTTTTGGGTATAGTTGAATCTCCTCTGACACTAGGTATAAGTCAGTGTAAATATTTGAAATGAACTGCAGAAAGAGCCGAGAATGGTGGCTCACACCTGTAATCCCAGAACTTTGGGAGGCCAAGACAGGCGGATCACCTGAGGTCAGGAGTTTGAGACCAGCCGGGTCAACATGGCAAAACCCCATCTCTACTAAAAATACAAAAATTAGCAGGGCATGGTGGTGGGTTCCTGTAATCCCAGCTACTTGGGAAGCTGAGACAGGAGAATCCCTTGAACCCAGGAGACAGAGTTTGCAGTGAGCTGAGATCAGGCCCCTGCACTGCAGCCCGAGTGACAGAGCAAGACTCCGTCCCCCTGCCACCCCCAAGAAAAGGAACTGCAGAAAGAAATACCATTAATCCTCAAGAGTGGATTCATTTACATCTTGATAATAATGTGTTCTATCTTTATGTTAATATAATAACATCTATAAGAGGCCTTTTCCTATTTTCTCTAAATTCTTATTAAATTTTCCAAACTGCAAACAATGGGTGATAACTACCTCCCCTTCTAAAGATGGGTATTAAACATATCTAGGTGGTACATGTTCATTGGCCTAGCTACCATCTCCCCAAATCTTATGAAAGTTAGAGTTTATCAAAGAAGATGATTCTTCAGAGGAATTTAAGAGTAGAAAGCACTGAGGCATATCCTACCCCCACCACAAACCAAGTGAGGAAATCCCCAAAAGCATCATTCAGAAATAGTTGATAGTGGGACACATGCTAGCAGAGCTGAAGCAGTTTGTAGGAATCTCTGTTGTTGTAGGAATCTCTCTGTTGCTGTCTGTGTAGAGAGACTTCTTGGGAGGACTAGACACATGATCTATGAGAACTGCAGAAATCTCAGCACATAATGACTCTATCTAAGCCTCTGCATTAAGAGAGGACCACAGTCTAGCATGATCTCTAGCAGCATGAGGCCCTGTCCCTAGGATGACCCCAGTTCCCCTGCCCCTCCATTGAAATGCCTACCTGAGAAAGCTCAATACTGCCAGGTGAATTTATTTGCTTCAGCCATGCCTGAAGACAGGCCTCTGACCTCCCTTTCTTGGAGGATTTACTAAAAAGCCTTACAATCATGACTCCTTCTTGTGTCCCTTTGAGATTTATTGTATCTCTTACAACTCAGAAGTTTCTTTCTTAAAGACAGACAGAGACATTCCTTTGAAATGTAATCATCAAGAAGGACAGAACCTCTGTTCTATCCTATCTCTGTGGGAGGATAGAATCTTGACTTGGGAGAATTGCCAGCTAGCAGACACAGTTGGCCTAATCACATTTACACTGACCAACCCTTAGTAATTTTTCATTTCTCTGGCTCTACTTGAGTCCCTACTTGTCCCCCTCACTTAAAAAGACTCGATCACACAAATCAGAATGGAGCTCAGCTCTTCGCCTACTGTCAGTAGTTACTGAATAAAATCTGTTTTCACTGCTTTAAGTAATGTCTAGCCTTGTTTGCCTTTGACATTCTACAATTAGGAAGCAGGAAATGGAAACTGGGGCCTGCTTCTTGCTGGGAGAATCTTGAAAGCAGTTGGACAGCTGGAGTAGCCGGCAAAGTTATTGAAGAAAGTGAGAATTCACCCATGGGTTTATTTACACTTCTCTTAGTTGGCAGAACCGTGATGCCTGAGATTTTCTGGGATCCAATTGATGATGAGGAAGGTAACACGGCTCAAGTCATCTAGAAATAACCTTGTCTAATAACATGTCAACCTTGTCATGTGCACCAGCCAAAAACAGCAGGCATGTACTTCCCTGAGAGCTGCTAAAGAGAGTTTGCAGGATATTAGCTGAGAGGGCAAAACCTACAACAGGGAAAGGTGTTGTGGGGAATCACCAACAAACCACTGATGCAGCCGCAATGACAGAATGCATTTGCTGCCCATGCGGAATTATAATGAGCACCTGCTAAGGAATATGACTTTTGATGCTTTTCCTGATTTCTACTATCCTGATCTGACCTTGAAGACTCTAGCTTTGAGGAGGAAGTGGATCAAAGGGAAGGGCAGAAGGGTGTGGACAGTTTCAAATTGAATATAAGAGGGAAGTTTTAAATTGGATTAGATTTTTCAATACCTACAAGTGACCTGAGAGCTATGGGATATTCCCAGGTTGTCACAAACTAAGAGGGTAGAGAAATCTGATAGAACATTTCAATAGTCAGTGTTAGAAGAAATGAAATTATTCTTGAGTACAATCTACCAAGTCAGGTCATTTAATAACTGAATGCATTACTATCTCAATATAGATGACATTATTTTTGTTTTTGTTTGTTAAGAAAGAATTTTTATAGCAGCATGATTTATAATCCTTTGGGTATATACCCAGTAAAGGGATAGCTGGGTCAAATGGTATTTCTAGTTCTAGATCCCTGAGGAATCGCCACACTGACTTCCACAATGGTTGAACTAGTTTACAGTCCCACCAACAGTGTAAAAGTGTTCCTATTTCTCCATATCCTCTCCAGCACCTGTTGTTTCCTGACTTTTGAATGATCGCCATTGCGCATGTATGTTTACTGTGCCACTATTCACAATAGCAAAGACTTGGAACCAACCCAAATGTCCAACAATGATAGACTGGATTAAGAAAATGTAGCACATATACACCATGGAACACTATGCAGCCATAAAAAATGATGAGTTCAAGTCCTTTATAGGGACATGGATGAAGCTGGAAACCATCATTCTCAGCAAACTACTGCAAGCACAAAAAAACAAATAGCGCATGTTCTCACTCATGGGTGGGAATTGAACAATGAGAACACATGGACACAGGAAGGGGAACATCACACACCAGGGCCTATTGTGGGGTGAGGGGGAGGGAGAGGGATAGCATTAGGAGATATACCTAATGTTAAATGACAAATTGGTGGGTACAGCACACCAACATGGCACATGTATACATATGTAACAAACCTGCACATTGTGCACATGTACCCTAAAACTTAAAGTAAAAAATTTTAATAGAAATGTATAGCAGTTTGAGATAACAATTTTTGGCATTAAATACACCTTGGTTGGAGTTCTTGCTTTGGTAATCACAAATTACTGAGTTCTGGTTTGTTGACCCCACAAATTATTTTCTCTGTGCTCAGTTTTTTCACCAGGAGAATGGGAATATGAATAGTTATAGTTTACATATTTTGTGGTATATTCCCAGCCCACTGTAATTCTTCCTTCTTGGGCAGCTGCTTTCTAATCTGCAGGTAGATCAATGAGCTGACTTTCAGCAGACTGGCTGGCATGGCATACTTTGGGCTAGAGCCATTGGATGAGGGGTAGTTCCCTTAGCTAAACTGGACAGCCAGTATCTCTTCCCCAGGTTCAATCTAAGAATGGTTCAGCCCTTCCTTGGGAGAAGGACTCTACAATGTTCATTCAAAATCCGTTGTCAATCAGGACATGGTAGGAAAAATGAAACATGACTCGAACAGAGAAAATACTGAGAGTGCCTTTGTTCCTAGTTGTAGTTCCCTTCTGCAAACATCTTTGCATGCTCATTCTAGGGTTCTATGAGATTCCATCTTTATATTCATATAATAAGTTTGAATCTAACGTTGTTTATTTTAACTTGGATTAGATAGGTAGAATAGTTCAAAAAGCTTGGATTCCAATCTCAATTCCAGAATTTACTGGCTGAGTAACCATGGACAAAACACTTAAACTCTCTCCTCCATTTTTTCTCTTGAATTACGGGGATAGGATAATATTTACTTCAAAATCACACTATCACACTGATTCATGAGGATTAAATGAGTCACTGCAAGTTACTTATTATTGAGTTGGTTTCTATAACTTGGAGACAGAAAAAACCTTCAACTAATAAATTATCACTTGATTCACAGAATTGGTGTGTGGAATGAAAGAGAAAATGCATGAAAAGAGTTTAGGACAGTGTGTATGTACCAATTGTACAATGGTAAATATTAGCTGTTATTATCTATTGCTTTCCTATTTCTTAGTTACTACATTTGTACTATGGTTTGAATGTGCACCCCCAAAACATGTGTTGGAAACTTACTCCTCAGTGCAACAATGTTGGCATGTTCGGTGTAATGAGAGGTGATTAGGTCACGAGGACAAAGTGAATGGATTTATGCCAGTATCACAGGAGGGAATTCATTATAAAAGGGGTAGTTGGGCTCCCTTTTTCTTTTTCTCTTTCATTGTTTTTCTGCCCTTTTGTCTATTATCATGGGATGATACAGCAAGAAGGCCCTCACCAGATGTGACCTCCTCAATCTTGGACTTTCTAGTCTCCAGGACTATGAACCATTAAATTTCTGTTTATTATAAATTACCTAGTCTGTGGTATTCTGTTATAGCAACAGAAAATGGGCTAAGACAATCTGATATTACAGTAGTTTTTCCTTATTTTCTGTTTTGCTTTCCTCAGTTTCAGTTACTCCATGGGCAAATGCCATCCAAAAATATTAAATAGAAAATTCCAGAAATAATTCACACATTTTAAATTGCACACCTTTCTGAGTACCGTGATGAAATCTCACACCATCCCCATCCATCCCACCTGGGATGTGAAAAATTCCTTTGTCCATTTTATATAAGAAACTTGATTGTTTATGGTATCTGAGAGGAGTCCTGGAGCCAATCTCCCGTAAATACAAAGGATGACTGGATATAGGGCTTGGTATTATTTGAGGTTTCAGGCATCCACTGCGGGACGGTCTTAGAATTCTATCCCCTGTGGAGTAGTGGGGACTACTGTAATCTTCAGAAACATTGAGATTACACAAAGTTTCCATTTCCTACTTTTAAACCACAGGCAGTCAAGAGAACTGCAGGCAAAAGGTGGCATATTTGTGTGAAGATTAATTTCCATATTGCCTCATATCTCTTCATATTTATTCAGGTCCATATCTATGATCCTAGGACAGAGAATAGAGACATTCACAGAGAAAACTTACCAAAATAGATTAAAGCAATTGAAATTGATTTAATATTCCCAGGACAGTTAAATAATAAATTCTTCTACTCAGATAGTTTTCAATTTCATTAATAAGATTGTATTTACAAGTAAGGGCATGATGTTGTCTTTTACATATAAATTCTTAAATTAAGTTTTTCCTATCAAAGGCACATCGCATGTTGACAACAATGTCTGAAAATGAATTTCCCAGAGACCACACGTTTTGTTCTTAATTATCTCTGCTCATTATAGTTTTTCCTTGTTGTTTTGCCATTGTGTAATAACATTTTAGGTCAGGTTCACATTAGCCCTTGTTTTTACTGTTGGTCTGTTTTCATATCATCCAAATTTATACTCTTCAATCCTTTTCCCTGATTTATTCCCATTAACTAGAGAATAGTATTTTCTTACACATCCTTACTATTTTATTGTAAATAGTATAATACAAAAATATTAATGTAGTTCCTCTACCATTATTTAAAATGTTAATATGTTAAATGACATTGAGATTCTCAACTAAACCCTATTAATTTAGTTATCTGAAAATGTGTTCTCCTATGGAAAAGCATAGTGTTTTCTTTGAAAGACTATGAGTTGCAGTATCAGAAAAAATAGCCATATTTAGCATTTGGCCATAAAACTTTATTGAAATTCATGAGATGAGGGACAATAGGCTGATTACAAATTTAAAATACATCAGTGAATGAAATTAGAGGCATTGATTTTTCTTCAGTAATTTGTTTTAGTCTTATATTAAGTCCAAGAAAATTATCGGTACTTACAGTTTTCCTTTTAAAAAAAACTCATAAAAATCATTCTTATATACTCATGTTCATGACAGCATACTATTCTCTTTGGAACTTTCTTTCCTCTGCTTTTCAAAGTTCTGGTGACTTTCTATTTTTTAAGTTTTGGCTTAAATGGCATTTCCTCATTGTAGATTTTTAAAAAGGCCTTTCTCCACTCCCAGTGCACCCCGTCCTGGAACCATTAAAAATTAAGTTGCATGATCACTGAATACCAATTTTTTTCTCATTCTTCCCACTGTTTAACCATTGTCACTTAAAAGTGATTTCTCTGGCAGTATATAAGAAATTATAATGATATTTTCTACTTTCCATTTTTGTTAGCAAATTTATTTTAGAAAAAAATGCTTTTAAACATGTCTGTCAATTAAAAGGACAATTAGTAAATTCATCAAATGTTAAGTTTCTATACCTAGAGTAAAATGCGTATCCTCTAGAGATAATTTGGTACAATTGAGGTCATTAGTATCTTATCTGTTTATGCAATTGTTTATTACAAGTATATACAACTCAATATATTTTTCTTGCAATTCAACTTGGAATATACCCCTGAAAAACTCTGGGGGACACATGCTGTGGTACATTTTCTGTATGGACCTTGTATTCTAGTTCTACACTTGTCTTTAACTAGTAGTTTACTTAAGTTACTAAACTTTTTTTGAACATTGTTTCTGCACCTCTAAAATGTTAGTTTCAATAGTGAATGATTTTAATAATTCTACAAAAACTTTAAACATGTACTTTATTTATCTTTTATGTGTCAAATTATCTTTATGTGTGGGTATACACGTAATGTATATAATAATTGTATTAAAAACAAATAGGAATGCATGCAATGAAGTCATGGCTGTTAAGAAATTTAGCCCTGAATTAGAAATATAAGATAAATCATACTTCCCAGTGTGCATGCATACATGTACTTGCAAATGTTTAGCTAGTTGATCATTCATGCTTTGACTGTAACCTTTTGTAGAATAGGCCTATATCATTTTCTTTATTATCCATATCTTTTGTGCCATGGTCAAGTTTTACTGCATATAATTCAGTTTTTCTGTGAATAGGTGGGGCAGAAGATAGTGCCAAAAAGAAAGAATGGAACCTTTACTGTGACTTGTTTTCTATAATCACATTTTATACCACATATTTTTGTTCACAAAATAATACATGAAAGGACATAAGCCTTATCCAGTCTGGTAAATTTTGGGTTAAAAAAATCTATACTGTATTCTGCACAAGAGAACACAAAGATCTTCTATGCTTCCAAATTATTAGAAAGCATTAGGGTTAAAAGAGTTTTCATCCTATTTTTTGGCCTGTTGTAATTATTTCTCAATTTTTCTCCCCATCTCATCTTCTTCCCCACCATAATCCTTTCTATATTCTACTCTCAGATCTATCATTCTGAAGTCCAATTCTGGTCATTATGTCTTTTGATTGATTGAAAACCATTCTAATGTTTTATATTTTAATCTGTCATTTAGGGTTCTCTGCCATATGAATCACACCTGAATTTCCAGCTTTATTTCTCAGTCGATTCCATATGTGCCCTGCTCCCAAACTAAACTAGACAGCTCTCTTCTCCTTCAAGTATTTGTTCATTCTGGTTTCTTTTAAGTATCATTTAAACTGATCCTTTTAAGTACCATTTAAGATAATATTTTCTCCATAAAATATTTTTCTCGATGACCTAAATTGAAAGTAAAGGGAAAAATCTTTGTTTATGGAAATGTTTTGGTGATGTATTTACATTGTGTTTGCACAGATGAAAGGCAACAAAAAGTTTTGCTAAACTATTCTGCAAAATAAATGGACATAAAAGACAGAAATCCAGGGAGAAAAAAAATGTGCACACATGCTATGAATGCCTTTTGTGAATGATTTTTTTTTTGTGTTGAAATAAAGAAGAGGCCTGTTTTGTGATATCTTGGTGGATTGTATTGTCTAGTTACTATTTCACAAGCCCAAGGAAAAATGGCCCCTCTTGTTCCTCTCCTTCTCTTGCACAGGCAGTGGGTTAGCATATGGTTGAGGTTTTGCCAATTAGTCAATTTCAGACTGTCTCCTGGGACTCTGAATCTTGAGCAAGTGGCTCAGAACATGGCACATGTCCAGTGCTGGGGGCGGATAGACCAGTCTGCTCCTAGATCAGCCTCATTATAGCTCTTGTTCCCTGGCTTTCCAGAACATTGAACATCCTTTGATACATTTTCTAAGCTGATTTCATTTACTTCCCTCAATTTGATGAACACTAGATATCCACTCAATAGGTTTCCTTTTTCGTGTAATCATGTAAGTCTCCTGAAAGATGACCAGAGGTCCTGTGGTAGGCAGAATAATGGCCTCCTGAAGATGTCCAAAGCCCAATTCCTGGAAACTGTGCCTATTCCCCTTTACATGACAAAGGGGAATTGGGGATGCAGATGGAATTAAGATTGCTAACCAGCTGACTCTGAGATACAGAGATTATCCTGGATTATCTCAGTGGGCCCTATATAATCACAAGCATCCTTAAGTGTAGTAAAGGGTGGTGTAAGAGTATGTCTGAGAGATACAATATGAGAAAAATTAGACTTCCCATTGCTTTCTTTGAAAATAGATGGGATCATGAGCCAAAAGATGCAGACATCTTCTAGAAGATGGAAAAAACAAGGAAATGCATTCTCCCTTAGATACTCCAGTAAGGAACACATCCCTGTCAAAACCTTGATTTAAGCTCACTGAGGATTGTGTCATAGTTATAAGTATGAGAATAGGGAGCAGGCTGTCTTTGTCTCCAGCTGAGCCCAGTGTTCCCTGCTGGAGAATGTAGTAGTTCATAGTGAAGAGCAGAGCAGGTTATAAACCTCCAGTCTACCTCTGACTTCAAAAATGAAATCCCCTGTCTTTGATAATAGGTAATCTTGTCTCCTTTTAGTCACTGTTCTTGACTTCAATTCCCATTTATTTTCAATTTAACATCTCAGTATTTCAGCCATTGTCATTTACTAATAAATATGCAGCATTGCTCTCTGATTTCATACAGATTTTCAGACATGGATATTAACATTTGAAAAGGCAAACACCTGTTTCTTGGTCCTTTTCTGATGATGTAGACCATCAGTTCTCTGGAAGAGATAAATCTCTGTTGTAAGAACTTTACTAATGCTCTGTTTCCCTTGCCTTCTTAGCTATGGAATACCTGACACTCAGACATCTGATTTAAAGTTAATAAATAAATTCGGACTACTCTTGTACACTTTTAATATATTCCAGTTATGGCAAAGCAAAGATATCAAGGCAGTCTATTTTTTTAACAAGACAAAACACCTAGTAAAGCCTCTCACTTTTATTTCTACTTTTGTAATTTCCTCAGTACAGTTAACCTTTAAATATATATGTAATATATGTAGATAGAATATCAATTAAAACAAAATATTTCTTGCTGTTAATGTACGGCATTTAAATACTCCTTTATTTTACTATTTATAAAACTGTTTTATAGAACACTAAAAGGTATGGGCCTGTTTAAAAATGTTAATCTTATAATTAATAGTCAGAGGCATACGCTTTTCCCCAACACAAGGCACTGATATTCTAAATCTGTCATTCTGAACTTTACAGTAGGAGACAGCCATCTGCCTGCATGCAGCCATATAAAACAAAGCAAGAATATATGCTCTTATGTTTCCCTTGGTGAGATGTAGGATCATTATGATAAAGTAGGCAACAAGGTTTAGCTAATATGAATTAAGATAGCATGTGTTGAAGAAAAAAAGAGCATATTAAATCAAACTAATTCTATAAGTCAACGTTATTAGCTGATTGGATGTGGATGATTTGATAAAGTAGAGCAGCATATGATGTAATGTCAAGTAGATGGGAAATATGTCTGTGGGTGACCCATTCCTTAGTCTCATAGCTCCAGAAACCCTTTCTCTGTGTTACTGGATCTAGTGCTATTTTAGTTAAGGCCTATACTTTAATTGACAACTCTATTTTGCTGTGTAACATGAAAGTTGTTAAAATAAAATATTTTAACATTCTTTCACAGGTTAAGAATATTAACTAGAAGTAAAAAGGAATGAGGCTTGGGAAGAAAAATCAGTTTCCAACATATCTTTATATCTAGATGTCTACGCAATTATATATTTTTTCAGTCATGTTCTTTCATCAGTTATGTCTAGATTTTTCTGAAATTTAAATACTCTAAAATCTGCTTTTTATATTTTAGTTTAAGTGAAATCATTATGAAAAGATATGACCACTCAGACACAATTTTTTGGGCTCACCCAATGTGTTTTTCAGTTTAATTTTATGGGGATTATGATATCTTCTTCATTAAAAACTTACTAGATCAACATTAACTTCTTTGGTTTGACGATTTTTGAAATCTTATTTTTTAAAGAAAACTCTCTTTTCTTCCTAAAGCAAAGTTTTTTTTTCATAAACAGATGACAGAGTGGAAGAATTTAAAAATTTTGTTATGCCATCACATTAAATTTGATTTTCCAGCTAGTACAGTAATATAGCATGGTGGTTAAATGTGAAATCTGGATTCAGCCAAGATTACTTCTAATCCCATTTCTACCATGTACAGACTGTGTGACCTTGACAAAGTAATTTAACAACTCAAGGCTTTAGATCTCTCATTTGTAAATGGGGGTAATTTAGAGAGCCTACTTCAGCAGGGTTATTCTGAGGGTTAAGTGAAATAAGATGTATGAAGCACTCAGTGTAGCATCTGGTAAATCAGGACTCTTCACAATAATATTATGCAAATTTCATTCCTGAAGCAGAAGTTCATATATTTTAGGTGTTGATTGTACTCAATAAGGGATTCATTTAAACATTATTTTCATGGCACTCTGTCTGTAAATTCTGATTTATCTGTAAATCGTAAGCATTTAATACTAAGAACATTTCTAAGAAGTTATATAAATATAAGTATAATAAATATAAATAGAGAAGATTTAGGGACTGTTTATCCAAAGCAAGGTTTTTACCAGGCAATTGAAACAATTTGAAAATGGCATATAATAATTATTGAAATTTACACTTAAATTTCATCATCTATAGCATGATTCAGGTTTCATCTGGCCAACCTGAGTCATGCTATAAAAAATGACATCCTAGGACCAGATTCCTGAATTACAGACCTTAGGCAGTAGCAGTAGTCGACATGTGTCAGTATGGATTCTAAGGCACACAACATCACAGATTACATTTAGAGCAATAGGTTGAAAACACAATCCTGCCCTTGGCTTTCTTTATGACAGAAAGAGGCAAGATACTCTATTCAAATGTAAAGAGTAAATGGTTAAAAATAAATATTCATCACTTTAATATTTACGAATAAAATTTCAGTTCTGAACATGCATATCATATGGCACTCTATGTACTATACTGAAACATTTTCCAAAAGAGGCAACAACAAAAAAATTACGGATAATATTATGATAATCTAAAAATAGTCCTATTACATTAATTTTGTTTAGTATATCATGTGCCTCAGTATTAATGAATTAAAGTTATTCTTCAAATGCAATTTTGTAATTACTAATTATTGATAAAAATATTAGTCATAGTGTCTGATTATCATGTACTTTTAAAAAAGAAATACTCTATAGATTACTTAATGGTTAGCAAAACATTATCCAATTTATTAGTTTTTAAAATATTATAAATTCAGCAAGAAAAATAGTTAAAAACTTAAGAAGTATAAAATGATTAATAATATGAAAACATAATTTCTACAGCAAAAATAGGATAGATTTCCAATTCTTTTCCTGAGGTCACTTTCCTATATTCTGCCACCAAAACATCAAATACAATTAAACCTCCGTGAAACCTTGCTTAACTCCAAAAATCCTCCATTGTTTTTTTCTGGAAGAAAATACAGTTACTCTATGAAGTGTTAAAGATACTAGGTAAAGAGTTAAAGGAGAGAGAATTGGAGATTCAGTGGGACAGAGAGAAATGATGGCTTAGAGGGTCATTGCTAGTGTAATACGTGTGTATGACCAGGAGATACACTAACATTAAAAAATTAAAATAGGCCAGTCACAGTGACTCACATCTGTAATCCCAACACTTTGGGAGGCTGAGGCGGGTGGATCACCTAAGGTTTTAGGAGTTTGAGACCATCCTGGCTAACGTGGTGAAATCCTGTCTCTACTAAAAATACAAAAGTTAGCTGGGTGTGGTGGCTAATGTCTGTAATCCCAGCTACTCTGGAAGCTGAAGTAGGAGAATCACTTGAACCTGGGAGGTGGAGGTTGCAGTGAGCCAAGATCATGCCATTGCACTCCAGCCTGGGCGGCAGAGCGAGACTCCATCTCAAGATAAATTAATAAATAAGAGTATTTTTTAAGACTCCACCTAGCACAAAATTAAAAAGATAAAAAGCCCTCTCAGAATTTTAAATAGTTAAATGTAGATCTAAAACAGCTTTACAACCCAAATTATCTCCCTAGATCTCTCTACTCAAAGAATATAATATAAATGGCCTTAAATTATAGCAGAAAGCAAACATCATGATATTTTGCAAACACATGAAATACTTTTCTCAAAATCAAGCCATAGTGATGTATCTTCAGAGCATTTTATAGATAAAATCAATTTTGAAGAACACTTATATGATGTCTTAAGAGAAACATGAAAATAGACTGTGTTTCCATTTCTGTGCCTTTTACTATATTTGCTTGCTTACTTAGCTAAATATTAAACATTCACAGTCACACAAAGTCATTGTGGAAGAAGGGTGGAATAACACACATGCACACACATCCACATCCACACACATGCACATACATACACATACACAAACACACCCCTTTGAATTAACATTAGGATGTCCCACATTTTAGCGCTTAAATGGGAATTTATTAAATACAGTCTTGGATAAGTAATAAAATTATCTGCTATCTGAATCATAATTCAGTAGTAATCCCCATCCCTTCCTCCCTAATTTAGAACTGGAGATTAGTTGTATAGACACAATGACACTTCAGCTATCAGTGCAAGGACAACAAGTCAGCTGCAGCATGACTTAATGCCTTTGTAATCTGTCCAGGGTGTTTCTGGCTTTAGTTGTCTAGCATTTCCCTAATTAACTGAAAACATCTTAGGAGGCTATTAGATGTTGACAATAGGAGAATATATTTTTTTCATTCATTAACAGCTTCATTAATGTTAAAACCATATTCTTAAGCATCAAAAGTTAATGTACTATTCTTAAACACTAAATTCAAATATGAGGATTTGCATATGAAGTATATAAGTGTGGCTATTTGGCAATTAAGCAATAAAATAGTATTAATTAGAACCTAATTGTCTCTGTGGAAACAAAGGAAAGATTCACCATAATTTTAGAAGTAACTACATAAAAAACACTATGTTTGAATTTTAACTTCTATTTTATATGGCAATTGGAAATATATGTTGAATGGCATTCCTAATGCAGAAAACATCTTAGGTTTGCTTCTACAATACTAAACTGAAAGTATTCGATCAGAATTCATTTTTAAATAAAATTATACAGCTGTTTCTTGTTTGTGCTAGTACCCATCACTAAGTTTACAATACATTTCAACTCCTGTCCATTCTCTGGAGAGGTTTTTAAAAAGAAATACAAAAGGGTAATGAAGATTGATTACCTTTTTCACAGAAGCGGCCAGTGAAATGTAGTGGACAGTCACATTGGAATGACACTATGCCACTGGAGAGGAAGATGGCATGGCATGTGCCTCCATTGTGGCATACATCCTGCTGGCACACAGAGGGTGCTGCAACAGAGGGGCTGACAGAAGTCCACATGGTATCAACCCCTTGTGTCACATCAGAAGCATCAACAAAGGAGGCTGTTGGAGACAGCATAAATCCCTGGGATCTGTGATTTATAAACAGACAAGAAAACAAAATATAAGTAAAAGCACTAGGAACATAAATAGAAATAATAGAAAATTTGATTTAATATAAGAGAAAATGAAACCAATACTGATCAAGGTTTAACTGAGGACAAATAAAATTATCATGTTTGTTTCACAATTATGAGATTTGTAAATGTTAAAAATTTCTGAGCCACATAACATGACCCTGTAGTAGTAAGAAACGTGGAAGAAATAACCTTCATAAACTTGTCAGTTGTTTTATGGAAAAAACATAGTCCTCCTTTAGCTGTTACAAATCTTATGAGCCTAAGATCAAGAATTAGGTCATGTTACATCTTCATGCTAAGATTGTTTGAACTTGAAGGATTTCTGAGTTAACTGCTAGAAATGTGCATTCATTAGTCTGACTTAGCATTAATTTCTGGGAGCTATCCAAGAGGTACCTTAGAAATACCCATAAATATTCCCTAATTTTTTTTTTACAAATTTTAATACCAGTTTAATTTTTTCTTTACAATAAATAATGAACAACAACAAAAGTCTCTCTGAATTATGTGAAATTTCCTACTTTTACATTCAAAACCCCTTGACAATCTGATTCATCCCTGCTCTTCCAGCCTACTTTATCATGATTCCTAATAAGTACCTTAAATTCTCTCAAACCAAATAAGATTGCTATTCCTTAAAGATGCTGAAATTTCCTAATATTGGAAGTTTGTTTAATATACTTTTTATGCCTTGTTATTCCTCAATTCCTGTCTAAATTTCACCTACAGTGCTAAGCCCACGCCTGCATTATTTTTTGTCCCTGGCCCAACAAGATGAAACTGTAGTATAGTTATTTTGTGTGTAGCCTCTACTATTTAGATGTATATATTCATTGTTTTTTCTTTCTCCCTCCACACAAAAGTTTCTCATTTTATCAGAAATCTTTATTCATAATACTTAAGAAAATTTGTTGAATTAATGTGTTCAGCATACTCATGAGTTTCATATACTGTCTGGGAAGGTTTTTAGAATTTCACTTAATATAATAATGAGATAATTATCTTTTTAATGTAAAAAACCTTGTGCAATAAAAATCAACAATTAAACATAATAAATTTTTATTTTATACCTTGTCATAAAGATAAAACCTTAGCAAAAGAAGTCACTTCAAACATTCCCCAACTGATCTTAGAGACTTAAAAAGCTATTTTTATATCTACTACGCACGTTAATGTCAACTTATTGGAACAAAAGATTTAAAGAAGATGAAATAGATAATTTATATTTTACTGATACATTAATGTGCAGGTCAGTTCTTTCGCAACCTGAAATTCTTCTTTATGGTGTTCATCACAGATTGTACCAATATATTTATTTTCATGATTGAGCCTGACCTGCTTTTCTTTCCTCTGGATTGCAATCTACATGAAGGATGGTGGGATGACTTCTGTGCTTTTCTTCATTTTATTCCTAACGATGCTTGATCTCTAGTAGGCTCTCCAGTAAATATTGTATAAATAATTTTGAATCTTTTTTTTTGTAAATATGCAATGTATCACACTACTTTCTGTTATTGTTGTTGTTTGTTTGTTTGGGATGAAGTTTTACTCTTATTGCCGAGGCTGGAGTGCAATGGTGCGATCTCAGCTCACTGCAGCCTCCACCTCCCGGGTTCAAGCAGTTCTCCTGTCTCAGCTTCCCGAGTAGCTGGGATTACAGGCACCCGCCACCATGCCTGGTTAATTTTTTGTATTTTCAGTATAGACGGGGTTTCCCCATGTTGGACAGGCTGGTCTCGAACTCCTGGCCTCAGGTGATCCACCAGCCTCGGCCCCCCCAGAGCATTGGGATTACAGGTGTGAGTCACTGCACCTGGCCTGTACCACACTACTAAAGAAGAACAATAGCAGTGAAATAATTTTGTCACCCCAGGTTAATTTTATAGCTCCATTATGTAACTCTTTAGTTTTATAAATAATATAAGTTCTAACACTTTTGATATAATTTTGTAATCAACTTTCTCTGATATTGCTCTATCAGAAAATTAGCATACATCTTCCTATTAGTCCTTGCGATATAAGTTTGTCTCTTTAAGGCAACTTTCATCAAGTTAAATGGCAATGCTAATATGAATGACATGGGATTTATTACTCAGTATTCTGAATTCTAATTTAATTTTTAGTTTTAATGTTTCTGAATAATTTCACCATTTCTAACATTTGCCATGGACTTCATGAACTGCAGTCTGTCACCACTTTCTCAGGAATAAATTAGAATTAAATGCCACTACTTCTTTCTCCTGCTGTAGCTGCTCAGGGAGCCTATGTCTCACCTGAAAAAAATCAATATTTTGCACATTTCAGTTAAGTGATTGCACAAAAATAATTGCTATCAATTGATCCGAAAACATCAGGATCACAAATCAATTTTTGAAAGAAACATTAATCATTTGATCTTTGTTATAAAGATCAAATTTCATATCTGATATATGATAATTAATAGTCTTTGGCTTTCAGTTTTATTTTTGGAAGTTATAGATGATGTCACAAATTTACTTGTTTTAAAATTTAGAATGAAATAAAATGTATTCAATTTGTTATATATTTAAAAAGGAAAATTAGTTCACACTGCTAAAATTTTACCTTATTTTTACATACAGTTTAAAAATATCAAGTGACTGTGGAGGTTTATTAAACATAACTAGATGTTGGACTTAGTAATATAATTAGCAATGTAAAAAAGGAACAGTAAAATTACCATTTTTAAAATTCTAGAAATCATAAATGTATGAGAGTTTAGAAAATAGTAAGTGTGAAAATCTGTCTGATCGTTTCTTAGGTAACTTTGTATAAGGATACAGTGACAAACCAGCCATTATTATAACAAGAAATTAGTCTTCAATAACTTTTTCTTAATGAATTAGTGTCTGAATAACATATGCTCAATGGATTCAAAACCAAACTTGATCACTGGAGAAAGACACCTTGATAGGACAGCAATTTCCAGTCGTGTTGGGGAACTCTAGTTGGAACAGGAAAGGAACACACACTACTTATTTCAATCCCACAGCAAGCAGCCTGTGAAAACCATGGGGCTAAACACTTCACATTGCTTCAGCCTGAAGGATTTTGCTCATTGCCAGCTGACTTTACCACTGCTCAACAGACATTTGTCTGGCACAAATGTTTAGAAGGAAGAGTGGGCTCACACAGATATGTGCCTACGAACCTGGCTTCTCAAGTACAGAAGTAGGATCATTTTTAGAATGATGATGAAATATTAAAAAGAAACAAACGCTGCCAGAAGACCCTTGAGTTTAGAGCTTTAATAGTGTAAGGGGAAGAAAGGATTCAAAAATCACTGTGTTTGATTGTAAAGAGTAGTAAAATAAATGAATTATAATCTGGATAACAAAATGCATATATCTCATGTAAAGAAAACTCACTTTTTTTTTTACAAAAATGAGAATATACTCTAAACACATACTTCATTCCACTTTGTCTTTCCATTTATTAGATATGCTATTCTACTCTTTGTTTTTTCACCTAAATGTAGTTTTTGGTGGGCTGCTCCATTCATAAGAATAGTTCTTCACTTTCCTTTTAAAATCTGCAGAGTGTTTTTATTGTTTGGATATATCATCATGGATTCTATCAGTTTGTAACTGATATATTTAAGTTGTTTTAAGTTTTTTTCTTGTTATCTGAATCATAACTTTATTTTCAATAGTTACATTGAGATATAATTTGCATACATAGTGTACCCATTTAAACAGCATTATTTAATATTTTTAATAGATACAGAATTGTACAGCCATCACCACAATCTAGCTTTATATTTTGTCATTCTCAAAAGAAATGTCATTTCCCTTAACAGCCACTCTCCACCATATATCCTCAGTCTAGTCTTAGTAAACGTTTAATCTACATTCTGTCTGTAGATTTGCCTATTTTAGACCTTTCATATAAATAAAATCAGATAACATATATAGTTTTGGACTGGCTTTTTCATTTAGTGTAATGTTTTCAAGGTTCACCCATGTTGTTGCACGTATCAGAACTTTATTCTTTTTTTTTTTCTTTTGAGACAGAGTCTCGCTCTGTCACCCAGGCTGGAGTGTAATGGCCAATCTTGGCTCACTGCAACCCCCGCCTCCCGGGTTCAAGCGATTCTCCTGCCACAGCCTCCCGAGTAGCTGGGATTACAGGCATCTGCCACCACACCCGGCTAATTTTTATTTTTTGTATTTTTATTTTTTATTTTTTTATTTTTATTTTTTTTAATTATTATCATACTTTAAGTTTTAGGGTACATGTGCACAATGTGTAGGTTAGTTACATATGTATACATGTGCCATGCTGGTGTGCCGCACCCATTAACTCGTCATTTAGCATTAGGTATATCTCCTAATGCTATCCCTCCCCCCTCCCCCTACCCCACAACAGTCCCCAGAGTGTGATGTTCCCCTGCCTGTGTCCATGTGTCCTCATTGTTCAATTCCCACCTATGAGTGAGAATATGCGGTGTTTGGTTTTTTGTTCTTGTGATAGTTTACTGAGAATGATGATTTCCAATTTCATCCATGTCCCTACAAAGGACATGAACTCATCATTTTTTATGGCTGCATAGTATGCCATGGTGTATATGTGCCACATTTTCTTAATCCAGTCTATCATTTGTGGACATTTGGGTTGGTTCCAAGTCTTTGCTATTGTGAATAGTGCTGCAAAAAATATATGTGTGCATGTGTCTTTATAGCAGCATGATTTATAGTCCTTTGGGTATATACCCAGTAATGGGATGGCTGGGTCAAATGGTATTTCTGGTTCTAGATCCCTGAGGAATCGCCACACTGACTTCCACAATGGTTGAACTAGTTTACAGTCCCACCAACAGTGTAAAAGTGTTCCAATTTCTCCATATCCTCTCCAGCACCTGTTGTTTCCTGACTTTTTAATGATTGCCATTCTAACTCTGAATAGACCAATAACAGGCTCTGAAATTGTGGCAATAATCAATAGCTTACCAACCAAAAAGAGTCCAGGACCAGATGGACTCACAGCCGAATTCTACCAGAGGTACAAGGAGGAACTGGTACCATTCCTTCTGAAACTATTCCCATCAATAGGAAAAGAGGGAATCCTCCCTAACTCATTTTATGAGGCCAGCATCATCCTGATACCAAAGCCGGGCAGAGACACAACCAAAAAAGAGAATTTTAGACCAATATCCTTGATGAACATTGATGCAAAAATCCTCAATAAAATACTGGCAAATCGAATCCAGCAGCACATCAAAAAGCTTATCCACCATGATCAAGTGGGCTTTTTTCTGTATTTTTAATAGAGACGGGGTTTCACCATGTTAGCCAGGATGGTCTCTATCTCCTGACCTTGTGCTCCATCCGCCTTGGCCTCCCAAAGGGCTGGGATTACGGGCGTGAGCAACCGTACCTGGCCCCTTTATTCATTTTTAGTACTGATATGGATCTATCATATTTTATTTATCTATTCATTAGTTGAAAGATGTGGGACTTTTCTACTTTTTGGCTATTGTAAATAATACTATGAACATTCATGTTCAGATTTTTGTCTGGATGTATGTTTCCATTTCTCTTGGATATGTAATTAGGAGTGGAATTGCTGGATTATATATTCTACGTTGAACATTTTGAGCAACTGCCAAACTATTTTCCAAAGAGGCTTCACCGTTTTACATTTCTGCCAGCAAAATATAAGAGTTCAAGTTCTCCATATCCTTGTTGGATCAAACATTCGTTTTTCTTTTTTTGACTTTTAAAACACTATTTAATGACCATCTTATCAATTCCATTGAATTTAATCTTTTTGAACTGAAACCTGTATGCTTTTCGTTACAAATAATTTCATATGTATTCTTTTTCTTCCTTTTTTTTCAATTTGCTTTCTATTTCTTTCAGGTTTTTTTAATTTTTTAATTTTTTATCTTTTATTTTTATATATGTATATATTTATTATACTTTAAGTTCTAGGGTACATGTTCACAATGTGCCGGGATAGATACCTAATGTAAATGACGAGTTAATGGGTGCAGCACACCAACATGGCACATTTATATGTATGTAACAAACATTCTTTTTTCTTTGTATCTTTGACAAAAATCTCCCCATTTCTTCTATCCCCCAGATCCTGGCATCATAAACTCTTATAAGTAGTATGTACATTTAATTTTTTATGAATTTTGACAAATTCCCCTCAGGAGTGGTTGCCACAATTTACATAGTAACAACTTTTACTCTACTTATACCAATAATTTCTTTATCAAATTTTTTGCTGTTTAACAGCCACTTACATAAAAACTAGAAACTTGCTGTTGTTTCAAATTATATTTCTTTATTAATAAGTGTCATATGCAGAATAATTCCCACCTCCACTTAAATTAAAAGTAGTTTTCTGAACTTGCCTAACTAATATCTGTTTCATTCACCTGGAGTCACACAGGGCAGACCAACTGAGTAAAACCCCTTTTGCAGGTAATGTATAGTAAAGGCTGTGATGGCTTACCACTCTTTCTAAGCCCCCTATTTCTCTAATTATGCATTATCAAATGTTATAGCTATAAACACATACACATGTATTTAATATACCTATGTCTATATCTACATCTACACCTACATTAATAACTTGTATCATCTCTTGTACTATTTCAGTGGAGTTTTTTAGTTGCCAGGTGTTCAGTTTTCACACAGGGTAACTTAAAACAACTAGTGATGTCTTAGTGGTGTGGCTAACAGGAATAAATCCAGAAAATAATTCAATTGCTGTTTTAACTTTCAAAATCATAAGAACATCATAACATCTAATAAAGCTTTAAACAAATGGAAAAATGACTTCAAAAGTTTGAATTGCCAGCATTCTCAGCTAGTTCCAAAATTTTATGTTGTTTTTAGTTTGATTAATAACTTTGAAAATAATTAATCATTGCAAATTTTATGAGAGCAAAGCAATACAGAAAAATGTTTTTGCTATTTAAAAAACATATATAATTGTCATTATATTAAAGGAGGAAATATGCAAAATTACTGTTAGTACATGAAAAATTCTCATTTGCCATTCAAAATAAATGTTAGATAGTAAAACAAATCATACAAGGAAAAATTAATCTGAAGAAACAACCCCAAGTGTTACTCCTCTTTTTTGAATATAACATTTATGTAATAGGATAAGAATCATACCTTAATAAGTTTAGTAAGATTATCATTTTAAAATGCAAATAAATTAATTCACTCCACATAATAGTGTAATTTTAATGGATCTTGTTTTCATATTTTCCTAATTTTTCTCACGGGACAAATGCATTTCTTTCTCACCATCTTCTATTCTTTAGCTATTACACAGTCACAAATAGGATTCCTTAGATTACAAGCTTTGTCATATGATTCATGTTCCCTGCATCCTTGGGTGTTAGGCAGGACTGGCACCTCAGGGCATTGCAGACCGCTGTTTCACAGTATGAAGGGTGGATATTTTTGAAACATTCTCTCCCCCTTGATAGATTCTGATTTTACTTTCTCATGCCAGAGTACAGAGGGTTATTATTATTGTTTTTATTTCAATGGCTTTAGGCATACAAGTGGTTTTTGGTTATATGGATGAATTATATAGCGGTGAAGTCTGGGATTTTAATGTACCCCTCACCCTGTATTGTACATTTTACTCTAATAGGTAGTTTTTCATCCCTCATCTCCCTCCCACTCTCCCCACTTCTGAGTCTCCAATGTCCATTATACCACTCTGTATGCCTTGCATACCCATAGCTAAGCTCCCACTTACAAGTGAGAACATGCAAAAATCATGATTTTTAATGGCTGTTTATGTTCCATCCTAAAACTACACCATCAATTATTTAGTAGTTTCTCTCTTGTAAAATGGTTAAATTATTTCCAATTCTTGTATTCCTTTTATGTTTTTAAATTATACTTTCAAGTTCTAGGGTATATGTGCAGAATGTGCAGGTTTGTTACATAGGTATATACGTGCCATGGTGGCTTGCTGCAAGCATCAACCCATCATCTACATTAGGCATTTCTCCTAATGCTATCCCTCCACTAGCTCCCCATCCCCTGACAAGCCCTGGTTTGTGATGTTCCCCTCCCTGTGTCCATGTGTTCTCATTGTTCAACTCCCACTTATGAGTGAGAATATGTGGTGTTTGGTTTTCTGTTTTTGTGTTAGTTTGCCGAGAATGATGGTTTCCAGTGTCATCCATGTCCCTGCAAAGGACGTGAACTCATCCTTTTTTATGGCTGCATTGTATTCCATTTTTGTACATGTGCCACATTTTCTTTATCCAGTCCATCATTGATGGGCATTTGGGTTGGTTCCAAGTCTTTGCTATTGTAAACAGTGCTGCAATAAACATACATGTGCATGTGTCTTTATAGTAGAATGATTTATAATACTTTGGGTATATACCCAGTAATGGGATTGCTGGGTCAAATGGTATTTCTAGTTTTAGATCATTGAGGAATCACCACACTGTCTTCCACAATGGTTGAACTAATTTACACTCCTACCAACAGTGTAAAAGCATTCCTATTTCTCCACATCCTCTCCAGCATCTGTTGTTTCCTGACTTTTTAAAGATTGCCATTCTAACTGGAGTGAGATGGTATCTCATTGTGGTTTGATTTGCATTTCTCTAATGACAAGTGATCATGAGCTTTTTTTCATATGTTTGTTGGCTGCATAAATGTCTTCTTTTGAGAAGTGTCTGTTCATATCCTTTGCCCACTTTTTGATGGGGTTGTTTTTTTTTTTTCTTCTAAATTTGTTTAAGTTATTTGTAGATTCTGGATATTAGCCCTTTGTCAGATGGATAGATTGTAAACATTTTCTCCCATTCTGTTGGTTGCCTGTTCACTCTGATGAGAGTTTCTTTTGCTGTGCTGAAGCTCTTTAGTTTAATCAAATCCTGTTTGTCTATTTTAGCTTTTGTTGCTGTTGCTTTTGGTGTTTTAGTCATGAAGCCTTTGCCCATGGCTATGTCCTGAATGGTATTGTCTAGGTTTTCTTCTAGGGTTTTTATGATTTTAGGTCTTACATTTACGTCTTTAATCCATCTTAACTTAATTTTGTATAAGGCGTAAGGAAGGGATCCAGTTTAAGCTTTTTGCATATGGCTAGCCAGTTTTCCCAACACCGTTTATTAAATAGGAAATCCTTTCCCCATTGCTTGTTTTTCTCAGGTTTTTCAAAGGTCAGATGGTTGTAGATGTGTGGTGTTATTTCTGAGGCCTCTGTTCTGTTCCATTGGTCTATATCTCTGTTTTGGTACCAGTACCATGCTGTTTTTGTTACTGTAGCCTTGTAGTATAGTTTGAAGTCAGGTAGTGTGATGCCTCCAGGCTTGTTCTTTTTGCTTCGGATTGTCTTGGCTATGCGTGCTCTTTTTTGGTTCCATATGAAATTTAAAGCAGTTTTTTTCCAATTCTCTGAAGGAAGTCAATGATAGCTTGATAGGGATAGCATGAATTTATAAATTACTTTGGGCAATAGGCCATTTTCATGATATTGCTACTTCCTATCCATGAACATGGAATGTTTTTCCATTTGCTTGTGTCCTCTATTATTTCCTTGAGCAGTGGTTTGTAGTTCTCCTTGAAGAGGTCCTTCACATCCCTTGTAAGTTGGATTCCTAGGTATTTTATTCTCTTTGTAGCAATTGTGAATGGGAGTTCACTCATGATTTGGCTCTCTATTTGTCTGTTATTGGTGTATAGGAATGCTTGTGATTTTTGCACATTGATTTTGTATTGAGACTTTGCTGAAGTTGCTTATCAGCTTAAGGAAATTTGGGGCTGAGACGATGGGGTTTTCTAAATATACAATCACGTCATCTGCAAACAGAGACAATTTGGCTTCCTCTTTTCCTGATTGAATACCCCTTGTTTCTTTCTCTTGCCTGATTGCCCTGGCCAGAACTTCCAATACTACGTTGAATAGGGGTGGTGAGAGAGGGCAGCCTTGTCTTGTGCCTGCTTTCAGAAGGAATGGTTCCATGTTTTGCCCATTCAGTATGATATTGGTTATAGGTTTGTCATAAATAGCTCTTATTATTTTGAGATACATTCCATCACTGCCTAGTTTATTGAGAGTTTTTAGCCTGAAGGCCTGCTGAATTTTGTCGAAGGCCTTTTCTGCATCTATTGAGATAATTATGGTTTTTGTCATTGTTTCTGTTTGTGTGATGGAGTAGGTTTATTGATTTGTGTATTTGAACCACCCTTGCATCCCAGGGATGAAGCCGACTTGGTTGGATAAGCTTTTTGATGTGCTGCTGGATTAGGTTTGCCAGTATTTTATTTAGGATTTTCACATCGATGTTTATCAGGGATATTGGCCTGAAATTTTCTTTTTTTGTGTGTTTCTTTGCCAGGTTTTGGTATCAGGATAATGCTGGCCTCATAAACGAGTTGGGGAGAATTCCCTCTTTTTCTATTGTTTCAAATAGTTTCAGAAGGAATGGTACCAGCACCTCTTTATACCTCTGGTAGAATTCAGCCATGAACCCATCTGGTTTTGGACTTTTTTTGGTTGGTAGCTATTAATTTCTGTCTCAATTTCCAATATTCGACTATTCAGGGATTTGACTTCTTCCTAGTTTAGTCTTGGGAGGGTGTATGTGTCCAGGAATTTATCAGTTTCTTCTAGATTTTCTAGTTTGCGTAGTATTCTCTGATGGTAGTTTGTATTTCTGTGGGGTCAGTGTTGTTGTCTCCTTTATCATTTTTTATTGTATCTATCTATTTTGTTGATCTTTTCAAAAAAAACAGCTCCTGGATTCATTGATTTTTTGAAGGTTTTTGTGTGTGTGTGTGTGTGTGTGTGTCTCTTTCTCCTTCAGTTCTGCTCTGATCTTGGTTATTTCTTGTCTTCTGCTAGCTTTTGAATTTGTTTGCTCTTGCTTCTCTAGTTCTTTTAATTGTGATATTAGGGTGTCAATTTTAGATCTTTCCTGCTTTCTCTTGTAGGCATTTAGTGCTATAAATTTTCCTCTGCACACTGCTTTAAATGTGTTCCAGAGATTCTAGTACATTTTGTCTTAGGACATCTTTATTTCTGCCTTCATTTCGTTATTTATTCAGGAGCAGTTTGTCGGTTTCTATGTAGTTGTGTGGTTTTGAGTGAGTTTCTTAATCTTGAGTTCTAATTTGATTGCACTGTGGTCTGAGAGACTGTTTGTTATGAATTCTGTTCTTTTGCGTTTGCTGAGGAGTGTTTTACTTCCAATTACGTGGTCAATTTGAGAATAAGTGCGATGTGGTGCTGAGAAGAATGTATGTTCTGTTGACTTGGAGTGGAGAGTTCTGTAGATGTCTATTAGGTCTGCTTGGTCCACAGCTGAGTTCAAGTCCTGGATATCCTTGTTAATTTTCTGTCTTGTTGATCTGTCTAATATTGACAGTGGGGTGTTAAAATCTCACACTATTATTGTGATCATAGAGAAGAGGCAAACTCTCTGCCTTTTGATACCAGAACCCAAAGCTGGATGGGAATTAGATTGATACTTTCTGCATTTAAACCAAATCAGAAAGTATCAGAAATGGGATTTTTCTTTCTTCCCTCCACACCTCAAATTCTAAGTTTTTTTTGTTGTTGTTGTTGTAAAATACCCTCTACATGTTTCAACAGTTTTATGTTCATATTTCCTTTTTGACATCCGTGACTTTAGCTCCTGTCATCCTCTAATCCATCCTTCTCACTGTGTTCATTTTTCTTGTTGTATTACTCTCAGCCCCAATTTTTTCCAATTCAAAGTATTCATTTTCTATTATTTGTATCATCCCACTTTTTGGTTTCATCGGCCTGGAATGTCTTCCTCTATATCCCATGTGTGTTCTAGCTACATCTAAGGATAATATTTTCAATATTCTATGCCTTATGATTTTCATATGCTGAGGTTCCTCTGAGATTAACTTTAACCTTAAAATCTCACATTTTTCATCCTTCAAAATGCAGTTCAAGTTTTTAATATATATAATATAAATATATAAAAATTATAACATGAATTATATAAATATATAATCATATTAATAAATATAATATATTCAAATATAGTATTCATATATCATACTCATTGATATATATTTTATATATTATATATACAATATATAAATTAAATACATAAATATTGATATAAACTAATTATAATTTATATATATTTATTAAGTATAATAAATATAAAATATAATTATATAAATATATGTAAATATATGAAATTATATATTTACATATATGTAATATTTTTATTTGTATATATAAAATCTCCAACTAAATAAAAGCACATAAAGTGAGTATTTTTATTCATATCCTCCTCCAAACCCAATACACTTTCATTGCCAAGGGGCAATCACTCTCTGTGTTACATTTCATACAAATACATATCATACCCAGATTATAACTATAACTTAGTTTTCTTTCTTTATTAGCTTTTAAGTGGAATTGTGTTAGTCAAGAGTAATGTCAGCTCCCAAATCTCAGTGGCTTAACACCACCAAAACTCATTTTTTGTCCACATAAAGTTCTATCAGCATAGACAGGAGGATTTCTGCTCTGTATAGTCATTCAGCCACTTTCGTGGACTCAGGTGACATAGAATATATCAACTTCAGCACATAGCTCCTGAGGTCCCCTTGGGTGTCACACTCAAATATTCAAATACCAGACAGGGTAAAGAAGGTAGGGGAAAAAGGAAGCATCGAAAATCTTCATACATCTCATTCCATTGGTTAGAACTTGGACACATGGCCAAACTCACTGCAAGGGAGCACAGGACAGTAGTGTCCTTGTGCCTAGAAAAGTAGAAAAAAGAGTTGGTGGATCCAGCCAGCTTCTGTGATACAAATCATGTTATAAAAATTGCTATTAAACAAAACTAAAATACAACAACATATTTTTTCACATTCAATTGCAAAACATCTTGGGGATCTTTTATTTTCATTATACATGATGTAACTCAGGAATTTTAATGAGAGAAGTTTTTACTGAAGATGAATCACAATGTATTGTATCATTTCCCTATTGATAAACATCATGGTTGTTTCAAGTTTTTCAAGTTATAAATACTGCAGTGAATATCATCATACAAATATCTTGTGACCATTGTGAGTTCATCTGAAGAATAAATATCTAGAGATGTAACTTATTGGGTCAAAAAAATGTCCCCAGTTTTCATTTTAATATATACTCCATAAAAACTATTAGAAAATTCAGTTCCCCAAATATTTTTGAGTACTGATTTCCCCAATCCCTCACTAAAATTAATTGTAATCTTCATTTAATTGGTTATATATCTGGTATAGAATTTTTTACTTACATTTTATCTATTTTGAATTGCTAGAATATATGCTTCCTCACTTCTTCAATTGTTTTCATCTGTCAACTTATAGGAGATAATCCTATATAATGGATGTTGGTCCATTTTACATCTTTTCAAATAAGATTTGTTGGTCTTTTTGAGCATTTTGTAATGTTTTCATTGTTTTCCCTCTTCCATTGATTCTGTTGAAAATTCACTTGTTAAGTCCAGTTATCAGTTCTGTAGGAAACTTGTATTTCCTCTCTGGATGCTTTTAAGAAGTTCCCTTTGTCTTTGTTGAACAGAACGTTTTCAGTGTGATGTGTTGAGATAAAGAATCGTTTTTATTCATCTAGGTTAGGTTGTTTTACAGGGGGCTTTTCTATTTAGAGAATTTATGGTTTTTATCTATTCTGCAAATATAGCCCTCTCACATTCACTTTATAGTCTCCTGTTAAAATATGTATTATATGAAATTGAATTTTCTCATTTTATTCTCCATATCCTCAGCTCCTTTTGCAACACCTTTTTCAATTCATAGCATGTTTTAAGATATACTATCTTGCTCATTAATTCTCTTCACAGCTTTGTCTAACTTCTGTTTAGTATGTCGATTTCAAAAATTTATATATACTTTTACTTTTTGAAGTTCTATTTGCTAATATTTTATTTTCTATCTTTTTTTAAAAATTATACTTTAAGTTCTAGGGTATATGTGCACAACGTGCAGGTTTATTACATATGTATACATGTGCCATGTTGGTGTGCTGCACCCATTAACTTGTCATTTACATTAGGTATATCTCCTAATGCTATCCCTCCTCCCTCCCCCCACCCCACGACAGGCCCGGGTGTGTGATGTTACCCACCCTGTGTCCAAGTGTTCTCATTGTTCAGTTCCTACCTTTGAGTGAGAACATGCAGTGTTGGGTTTTCTGTCCTTGTGATAGTTTGCTCAGAACGATGGTTTCCAGCTTCACAATAGCAAAGACTTGGAACCAACCCAAATGTCCATCAATGATAGACTGGATTAAGAAAATATGGCACATATACACCATGGAATACTATGCAGTCATAAAAAAGGATGAGTTCATGTCTATTTGGTATTATTTTTAAAACTCTTTACTCAGGTTGTTTTGTTTGTTTTGTTTTTGTTTTTTGTGGGTGTTTTGTTTTGTTTTGTTTTGTTTTTTGGCAGCATCTTAGTTGCCTAGGTGGCAGTGCAGTGACACAATTGCAGCCTCAACATCCTGGCTGGGCTCAAGCGATCCTCTTACCTAAGCCTCCCAAAGTACTGGTATTACAGTTGTGAGCCACTGCACCTGGCTTATACTCCGTTTTTATGGCATCCTTTTTCTTATATCTACTTTAATCTTCCTCTTTCATTTCTTAAAAAATAAGCATAACTTTAAAAAAATTCTGTATCTGATAATGGCAACCTCTGATCTTTGCAGATTTAAGCCACTTCCTTCTTTGTTCAGCTGGTTCCTGTCTCATGGTGCTTTTTATTTCTCTTCAAATGCTTTATCATTTTTCACTGTAGCCTCATATTCTTTGGAACTTTATCTGTGAGAAAACTTAGAGGCCTGAGGATAAGCCATTACTCCAAAGAGGATTTGTGTTTGCTTTGTCCATCTCTTGAGGAAAATTCCAAATAGGAAACATTATAAAATAAAATCTTATTTAAGAATTTTGGGTCTCTACTAAAAATACAAAAATTAGCCGGGCATGGTGGCGCACGCCTGTAGTCCCAGCTACACGGGAGGCTGAGGCAGGAGAATGGCGTGAACCCGGGAGGCGGAGCTTGCAGTGAGTCGAGATCGCGCCACTGCAGTCCAGCCTGGGCGACAGAGCGAAACTCCGTCTCAAAAAAAAAAAAAAAAAAAAAAAAAAAAGAATTTTGGGTAAATCATAATAGGTTTTGTCCATTAACCTCCATATCCAGCTAGTTTATTGTTATAAATAATTGGGGAAGATTTTCCTCCTCCTACATATAGGTGAGGTATGAAAGTTTCCTTAGGCATCCTTTTTTTTTTTCCCTCTCTTTTCTTTCTTAATTTCCTTCTTTCTGTTTTATCGGCTGTAAGAATTTTTATCTTGGCTTATAGTAATTTATTTAGAGCTTTTTTCTCTTTGTTAGCATGAACGTTATATATGTCTTATAGCTGGATATTTTTTTAGTTGCCATACTACCTGAAATGGAAGTCACAGTTATTTTTAAATCTTCCGTAAATTTCTCAGAATGCATATCTCCTAAAGGAATCTTACTGCTTTCAACACTGATATATATGAATGTAGCTTTTGAAGGGGTGTGTGTGTGATGTCTTTATGCTTTTGTGTTTTCTATAGATTCTAGATAAAAGTAGGCTTAGACATGTGTGTACAGTTTGCATAGCTCAATATTTTGTATGTTGTATTTGTACCATAGAACACTTAATTGTTTTACTATAATCATCTCCCTTTCTAGGATTTAAAACCTTAAAGCAACTTCATTTATTTACTTAAGTAATGAACACTTACCATAGTTCTGACATCTAGTAGTTGCTAGAGAAGTATTTTTTGACTTTACCTTTGTTCTAATCCATAGATACATTCTGAGATAAGGCATTTAAAAACAAACCATTTTTAGATATAAAAGCAATGAACCCCTATGGGCAGTGAACTCTATAGTATGGGTCCTTAAATCACAAATTCATATTCAAATGCAAAAAGTATGTAGATTTTTGAGGGAATGCAGGAAATTAAATTGAAAATTATATAAAAACTTTATTTTTGACTAATGCTATATTTTTACTTAATGGCTTCATTTTGATTTGGAAGTCATTGAAGTTTGAATGCCTTGCCATTATGGTTAGTAAGAAATATATAAATATGCGATATTTTAGGACTAAGTGTTTCATGTCAAATGGAAACATTTATTATATTAATTAAATTTAATTTATTCATTTCAATATGGAGAGATAATACTCTGGAATACTTCCAAATTAACATAAAACTTACAGGAAAGAAAAATATTCTAAAATACAAGCCACCATTAAAAATGTGTGATTACTTATTACCTGGAAAGTGAATCCAAATTAGTGAAAGACAAGTCAGTAATCAAGGTGACATAATTAAAAATCACACAATTAGCTCTAGCCATAAGAACATATGTGCTGGCAAAGACAAATGCAACTCTGTCTTCTGAGCCTCACAAGGAGGAAGGAACTTCCTGAAGCTCATAGGAGTCTCAAAGAGTATCTATTTCGTGGAAAGGACTCCTTTAAAAAATCTAGACCTAGACATTACCAGCCAGGATTTGAAAAACAAAATAGACCAAACGAAAAGCCAAGTAAATCGATCTAGGATTAATTACACACAAATCATTCATTTACTTAACCAAAAAGGACTTCTAAATTACCCTCTATGCAACAAAAACTCACCCATCAATATTATAAGGTGACCAGTAAAACCGGGACCCTTTGAAGGAGAATTCAGTTTTGTAGAGTCGAGGAAAAAAGGCAATTGTAATATTGCATAATGCATTGAGGGTGACTCTATACCCGTACTGCTCTAAATGCTGCATATGTACTAATATAATTTAATTCTCACAAGAATTAAAAAAAAACTAATTTTATTTTCCTAAATGTACAATGAGAAAACAGAAAACACTTAATAAACAGACTCAGGGTCTCAAGGTAAATATTTGTATGGTGGAAATGAGTTTGAACTCTCATAGTTTGAGCTTTGAACTAAAACTTCCTAAAATTTCTACACTCTTGGTAGGAGACAAAAGAGGGCCTGCTGATGACAGGTTTGAGGTTAAGAAGATATTTGACATTAGCAGAGTAAGAACTATCAATAAGAACATCCTCAAGAGGCCGAGTCCTAAAAGACCAGAAGGACTTGGCTAGGAGAAGAAGGAGAGGCAAAGAAGTCTGTGATGTTAGGAAGGGTACTCAGAAACCTGCCAGATTAAGTTATGTGTTTAAAACCTAGAGGAATGAGACAGCATGCATGGAGAATTGCAAGTGATTTGGTACAGAAGAAGCTTGTGTGTGTGTGTGTGTGTGTGTGTGTGTGTGTGTGTATAGGTGCGTCTTGAGAGAGAGGGCTGGAATATGGGGAGGCTTGTCAGCCATCATTTAAGGCAAAGTGAAGTCATCAATGTCTCTTAAGCAGGAAATTAGTAATTCATGTTTATTTTCGAAACTACACTCTGGTTTTAGCATGGAGGATGGCTTGGAAAGGAGCTGGAGGCAGTTGAAGGAGGAGGAGAATTGGACTGATACTTGAACTAAGAGAATGTTATGGGAATGTAAAAAAGTAAAGAGATTTAGGAGAAATACGGTTTGTTTCCAAAAGGACTTTGTGGTTGGTTTTAAGTATGAGGTGTGTACCAGTCAGGGGCTGTCAGGAAACAGACGGTACATTCAGAAAAAGTAGAAATAGCAGATGTTGGCAAGGATACAGGGAAAAGGTAACTTTTATACACTGTTGGTAGGAAGGTAAATTGTACAGCTTCTATGGAAAACAGTATAGAGATTTCTCAAAGAGCTAAAAATAGAATTACTATCCAATTCAACAATCCTACTACTGGGTATATGTCCAAAGAAAAATAAATCAACATATCAAAAAGATCGGCCGGGTGCAGTGGCTCACACCTATAATCCCAGCACTTTGGGGGACCAAGGCAGGCGAATTGTGTTGAGCTCAGGAGTTCGAGACCAGCCTGGGCAACATGGTGAAACCCTGTCTCTACTAAAAATACAAAAATTAGCCAGGCATGGTGGTGCATGGCTGTAGTCCCAGCTACTCCAGAGGCTGAGACATGAGAATAGCTTGAATCTTGGAGGCTTGGAGGCAGTGGTTGCAACCAGCAGAGATCACGCCACTGCACTCCAGCCTGGGCTACAGAGTGACACCCTGTCTCAAAAAAAAAAAAAAAAAAAAAAGATACCTGCACTCATATGTTTATCATAGCACTATTCACAATATCAAAAATATAGAATCAACATAAAGGTCCATTAATAGATTATTGGACAAAGAAAATACAGTATATATAGCCATAAAGAAGAATAAAATCATGTCTTTTGCAGCAACATGAAAGGAACTGGAAGCCGTTATCTTATTTGAAATAAGTCAGACACAGAAAGACAAATAGAACTTGCTCTGACTCATAAGTAAGAGCTAAATAATGTGTCCACATGGTTGTACAGAGTGGAATGATAGACAATGGAGTCTTGGAAGAGTGAGGAAGTTGGAGGGGGGTGGATGATGAGAAATTACTAAATGGGTACAATGTATCTTTTCAAGTGATGGATATTCCAAAAGCCCTGACTTGACCACTGTGCAATCTATGCATATAACAAAATTGTGCTTGTACTCCATACATTTATAATAATAAAAAAGGAAGGGTAATTAAAATGAGTTTAAGGAACAGACTACTTCAAGTTGGAAAAGTTTAAGAGAATCAACAAGAGAGAAATTTTTCCAGGGCTAGAATTGGATAGTAATCAATGGACTTGAAGAAGCAAGCAGATGGAATAATTTCTGCAATGTGGACAAAGATGTAGGTATAGGAGAAGAATCACCTGATAAGAGCTGTGGTCCTGGAGAGAGGAATGCATCTACCGCAAACTTGTACTTAACGGATAGAGAATAAGGAATAAATCCTCTGATCTTTTTTTCTTGCTACCCCTTCAATGTCCTTCCATCACATTGCCCAAACACAATTGGAAGTCAGAGGCAATGGGGAGTTTGTTAGTTGCAACCAATAAAAGTCAGCCTCTCAGGTACGAGGCAGAGTAGAGAAAAATGGAGAACAGACCTGGAAGTGAGGCAGAAAATACCTAGCCTGGGGAGAAAGAAAAATGTAAGTGAATCTCAGGTTTTGAATTTAAGTAACTGTGTGAACAATACAATTTACTGAAATGGAAGATACAAATTTCATGCTGAGAAAAAATTCAGTCCATCTGGTTCTAATAGTGTATCTTATAGAAATTCCTAATATTACCTATCCTTTTCTCCAGATCTGATTTATTATTTTGACCTTTTAAAAATATTTCTCAAGCAATTTAGAAAAGTGGAAACTTGAGCACATGAACTTATGTCACCACATTGCCTGATAAGTCGGTAAACTATACTTTTTACAAATAAACAGTGATCCATTTAATAACATTCCTGCTCAGTTGGGTCATAAAATCACAACCCTCAATACCATTTTTCACCTGGGGGCAGCTAGCAGAATTGCACGCAACCGTGGCCAGGGGAAAATAATCATTTCTCTAAAGAGAAAACCTTACAGCTATTACAAATGCCTACTGCATCAGGGGAATGATTTAAAAGATTTATTTTAACATATTAGGCTTAATAAAATAGAGCCACAAATAGCTAAAGCAATGATGGAAAAATTTTCCTTTCAAAATTCAAAAGCATTTTTAAAAGTTAGACACAATCATTTTACATTCAAAATCCAATAGCTTACATTGAAGGGTAATCATTGGTTTCTGATTACTGTGAGGAATCACAAATTTACCGATAAATTCGTGCTGGATATTAGAGAAGTATGCACCTAAAAAACTAGAATCCAAATGGGAAATCATTACTTAAAATTCTGTTGTATTAGAAAGAACAAGCCCAATCACATAGGGCCCTCTATTAATTTCCATGTGAGTTCTAAGGAAAGAACCAAATAATGATATATCTTCCATTATTTTTAGACGTGTTGGCATACTATTTTTCTTTTATGCAAATCCTGGAATAAAAAAGAACATTAAATTATTTGTATAGTTTAGTCTTTTCTACAAATACACTAGATAATATGAGGAAACACGTAAGTAGATCAAAAGGCTCTGAGGGAAAGGACAGTTCATAGATTAAAGCAACACTCTTTATCTCACCTTGTTCATTACACCCAATATTATACTACTGAAGCAATGGATTTTGCCTTGTCTGATATGAACGTTTATTAATGGCTTGTCTGTGAAAAGCTGGGTAATTGGCTTTAACCAGCAGTATCCTCAGGACAATAGAGATAGTCTATTTACCATTACTTTTTATGCAGTCAAACGTGAAACCTTAAAATAGTCTTTACAGTCCTTCAGCTTATCTCAAGACAGGTAGATTTGTTTAATAAGCTTTAAAGCAACTCAATTGCATAATCTTTATGTACTGAACATCATATTTCAGAGAACTACTAGAACTATTTCAGGTGAGAATATGTGGACCTCAGAGAATTATGGTATAGCAGCATTGAATAGCTAGGGTTGCTTCTGATGTCTATATAAGCAATCTTGTTTTACTGAGTGTATTAAAGTACCTTCAGGAATGCCAAGGGGGATTCACTTCAAAGAAGAAGAGTGTGACTCTAGTATACTGAGGCACAGTACAAGGGAGATAATTATAAACTAATTATTCTTAGTTGTTACTTCTCTTCTATTAAATAAAAGCAAGCAGCTATGTGGTTCTCCCAACGTAAAATGCCATTTCTTTTTCATTTTCTCTTATTTGTTTTACTATAAAACCAGTATTATGACCATGTTTTGCTGAAATAGTTTAGTGTGTTTATCCATTTCTTCCCTAAATATTCATCGTGTGCCTAGTATGTGCTAGGTAGTGAGTATGCAAAGATTATCTGGTCACACACCATTAAGAAGCTCTTGAAGAGGTTAATGAGACCCACAGACAAAGTAAGTGAAGAGAAGTTCTAAAATGCCAAAAGGAAGAAATTAAGTCTGTATCAAGAATTTAAGAAGGCTTCAAAGAGAGGTCAACTGATTTAAATCCTGAAGAATAGAAAGGAGATTTCAAGGTGGAAAAGGTTATTCTAGGCTGAAAAAACAGTATGTGAAAAAGTGTAAAAAATTCTCAGTACTGGCAACTGGAAAATGTAATACATTTTAGAGGATGGATTTAGAAGTCAGTATAAATTATGATGGAATTGTCATTTGAATATTTTTCAATGCTAGCTTTGGAATATTTTGTCTTACAGGTGTTGAAAAGTCCCAATTTCTCTTTAGTGCTTCAGATGGGATTCATTTGTACAACTCTGCAACTCCCTTTAAATGTAATATGGGCCCCTGAGCTCTCACCCTCTGCACTCTCCATGCCCCATCCTCTTTCATTGATGCCTTCCTATATAGCCCAAATTCAAATTAGAAACCTGAGCGTAATCCTTTTTCCTCTTTCTATCTCCACATATTCATTCTATCACCAAGATATCTTCAATCATTGGTATATGTCTGACAGTCCACTGTTGACTATCACCACTTCATGCCTAAGTGCTTGTGAAAACAATCCAATTGGCTTCCTTGACTCCAGTCTTAATCATCCTGTCAATCATCATAGTCAGGGTGATCATGTTAAAATGTAACCTGTTCACACAACTCCCCTTCTTAGAACATTCAGAGACTCCCTATCATTCTTACTATTAAGTTTAATCTTCTTACCATGGCTTTCAAAGCCATTCACAAGCTGGTTCTGCCTCTTGAGGAGTCTCATGTCTAATCTCTCGGCCTTCAAACAACTTGCTCTTCTCTGCTTTGTCCTACTTTCCCTGATGGATGCTTATTTGTACTTTAATTCTTAACTTAGAAGATAGTTGTTTAAGAAGCTTTGCCTGACACTCCTCTAGTACAAGTTAGACAAGTCGTATATATTTAGGCCCCTGTACTTCTACTAGAAATCTTATCACCCTATACTGCAATAGCTTATTTATTTATATACTCCTCCTAGAATCTAAACTGTAACTTCAGTGATTTTATCTATTTCTTCACTCCTCATTGTATTCTGTGTGCCCAATATATTCCCTTTAACAGTGATGGCATTCAATAGTTGCAGAGTAGTTAAATAATGTGTTAGAGCCTTTAACATAAAGGCCACTGCATATTACATATCATGTTGAGAAGTTTGGACCTTATTCTTTATGTCAATGCTTTTAACTATATGTGAGGAAGTACTAAAACCCATAGGATACACATGGTTTAGCTTCTGGAAATATCAATATTCCTTGAAGCTAATTAATATATCAGTTAAATAGTTTAAATTAAAATTTAATATTTGTATGGCTTAAAATAAACAACATTTTAATAAAATATTCTGTGTACTCTGTTGCTAGAGTAAGGCACAAAATACTGTATTTCTTTACTCTTCTAAGCCTTTAATTGCACACATCAGAAACTCTTGAGAAATATTGTTGTAGATATCAGTGGGTTTTATGTGAAGTAGAATAATAGGCCCAGATTTAAATGTAAGTGTTTGAAAGTCACATCTTCTCATTGTAAGTGATAAATTGGCATCATAGTTTACACATCAGTGCTTTCTTGTGAGAGCAACAAACACTTGCACAATTTTACACTACTATAGTTATCGTCGTGGGTCACTGTCAGCGCTACAAATTATTTCCTGGTCTTAAGAGTTTCTTTGCTGTGTCCAGAGACCATGGCAAGCACCAGAGTTTTTTTAGCTGTCACATCACTAAAGAAGTATCAGGTCTGTACTGACACCTGGCCCTCACATGCCATCATCTATGGGAGGGATCACTGCACCTGTACCCTGAACCAGCAGGACCCTTGCTTCCTCTAAGTTAACTGGACTGATCACTGAGGTGACTTAGTGCAGGGGGGTTTATTCTCAAGGGGACAGGCTTTAGCCGTTATGAATCAAGGGCTAGAACTGGGCCATAAATTCATCTTTTCTTCCCCCCAAAAGACTGTTCTGATGTGATGGGTATAGGGCTATCTTAACATGTCCTGTGTGGTGAAGCCATCAGTTGTGACTGTTATGAAGTTGTGATCTGCTTAGTAATACACCCCTTCTTATTTGTCCTCTGTATGCACTTTAACCCCCAACTTCCCCTCATTCTGGGAACTGTAATCAACCTAAGCTTTTAATTCACATTCTATTTTCTAGGAAATCTGGTACAAGAAAGCCAGATTTGGGAAATTGGTGGCAGATTGTTGTTCTGCTCTAGGGAGGCCTTAATTAAACAATTATTTGGCCTTTCTCGTGTAATACCCTCTTGCCTCACTGTACCCATGTCTTCCCCATATTTTCTAGCTACAATACCACTCTCAAGAAAATTTTAAAACATTTCTCAGGAGGACATGTTCGTTTGGAAAACAGTCTGAATGTGCATGTTTGGTGTCATCTGTGTAGTTAAAAAGTAGCAATATAACAAAAAGGTGCATGCTGTTTTCAATGTATGCCACTATGACAGATTATTTCAGTTTGCTCTTCCAGAGTCAATTTCTAGCTTGCTCCTGCATGAAATATGCCAGGAAAGCTGACCTATCTTACTACATCAATGGGGCCCCTCTGCGCTCTGTATTTTAGACTATTTGGCCCAAAGGGAAGTCCTAGCAGGAGCTGGGAGGGAGGCAAGAAAATGTGATCAGAATAATATTCATTCTTGTCAGTCCCCGTCTCTGAGGTCACATCAAGATGGCTGCATTCCTTGATAGAAGTCACTTCTCCTACATATCCTTCCTCTTGCTTTGTTCCCTGGGCCCAGGGATGGTAATAGCTTGTCAGCTGCTCACCTGGGGTTTCTGTACTATTTCTGGGTTTCCACTACACCTCATCCACTCCCGTATTCTTGCCACGTAGTAAATAAATCCTGTTTGCATTATTGTAACATGATGTGCATCTGTTTCCTGTTTGGATCCTGACTAATACATCTGTCAATACACTTGCCTTTGAGGAAATGACCTTGCAGAAGCAATCAAAGATTTGGAAATGTATGAAATTACATATAGAAGCAAAGTGAAAAGAGGGGAAGGACGAAGTTTTGAAGACTATTAGATTTAAAGGAAATTTGATGTTAAAGATGACTTGACCTACCCAGAAAACAAATTTTGTAATGTAAGTGTAAAACTTGGAGATTACTTTGTGAAAAATTAAGCACAAAATATTTTGAGGATAAAAGAATACTAATTGCTATAGAAAGATGGAAGGAAGTGAGGTTTGAAACACGTTCACTTATTTTTAGCATTTAAGCCATCATTGTTGACCATGATAATTGCAATTTCAGTAGAAGCTGAGGCAAAAAACAGCCAGCCATGAACTACATTATGAGTAACAGGTGTGAAAGTTCAGAGAAAAACTGAGACCCAGTCTTGCAAAAAACTTAAACATCCAGGGGAAGGGTTTCTGAAATGATTAGGATACTCAGATCCTCACTAGAAACTTCCTCAACTAAAATGATGCTTATCCACTTTGTCTATGAGCATCATCTTTCTTTTCTTCCTAGGTCTAGTTTTCTCTTTGTAATGGATTTTTTAATATTTCTACTAAAAAGTTATATAAAATTTATTGTAAATATCATGAGCTACTGGCAGAACAATATTTAGTATTGTAAAATTAAAGTTGTACAATATTATTTTTGACAAACTGTGCCTTTAAAAAAGTTCAAGACATTTTGATTTGTTTCTAATTGGATTAAACAGATTACCATTTGTATACTAGAGAGGTGTTATTGCTGTTTTAATTCAAATTTCACTTTAAAAATCATTACTATATTATAAGAATTCAATCATATGACTTAAATAACCAAGTGCATGTATGCAAGTATATATGTGTAAGTGTGTGTATGTTTGTGTTTGAACACACACGTATTAAAACGATATATTCACATGATATATGTATTTGTGTGTATACATAATTTCCTTATGTACAGAGATAGCATGTAGGCCACTTTGGTAGTCTATTTGTCCATTATTCACATTTATTATGAAAAATTTTATGTTTCCTGACCTCATTTTCTTTTCTACAAGTATCTAGACTATGATCACATAGTTAAAAAAAAGTTCATTGGTCTTCCAAATAATTAAAATTCATATTTTGTATATTTCCATGTGCGACTGTAAGAGCTACTGATTCAGCAATGAATATCCTTTTAATTCTTATATAAAAATCTGAGAATCATTTACTATAAATGACATTGTCTAAAATACTTCTCTAAGTATCATGAATATAATCATAATACTCTTAATTTTGACAAAATTTACATACTTTAGAATTTAAATTGAGTATCTGTCAATATGTTAAATCTACTAAGTTTTTACAAATAGATTCATCTTGATAAATTTTCACTACATAGCTCTTTTTTCCTTCATACATGTAGAATGTATGTGATTTAAATCTTACATGGTAGTCAAATGCAAACAATGGAAAAGTGAACATCTGCTCATGCTTCATTGTGGTTGCTTTCAGGACCTTCTTCATATGACTGATTTTAGATGTAGGAGTAAGCATACTAATTCATTAGACACTTTGCTTCAGCCTACTAGGGGTTCACAATGGATGGCTATGTGGAAACCACTTATACTGAAGAGGTAGTGCTTGATATTTCATTTAAGCAGCTCCTGTGGATTTGGCTACTATTGTCTTTCAACACTACCAGTTTTCTTTTTATTGCTAAGCTGCAGTGAAAAAAAGACAAAGGAGCAGAAGAAAAGCCTCTACTTAATCATACTGAGAAGTTGTTGACGTTCATCTGTCCTGTGGCAAAGTTATTAAGGGGCCTGCCTGTATGATGCCTATCTACAGAGGAGCACACATGGCCATCAATAGCAAAAGTAGTAATTAGATTTGTCATTATGTACTACCAGCTATGAAGGAGTGAAAGGCAGCTAGGGAACATGACCTACCATTTATGAGCTTAACAATAAATGTTTCTTTTGATGTATATGCCCACGAGAGGCAGAGAGATCAAGATAATGAGAGCTATGCAAATAGTTACATCACGGATAACAAGAAAAAAATAAATCCATATCTCTCCACTGGTAATTCCCAATGCTATTTCTCCTTCATTGGTTCTCCAGAACTTCAGCACAATTATTTGTTTCTTGCAGGTCATTTCCTTTCTTATATGTAGTCAACACCTCAAAATCTATTATGTCTTTCAATAAAACACATTTCTTCCTTCAAAGCTAACTCCTGATTCTCATTCATTCAGACTGAAAAACTTTGATATATCTTTGGCTCATCTTTCATTTCTTTCTCTACTCTTTATTCTCTCTGCCATTTAGAACTAAATCTCCTGTTTGGACTAATGAAACATTTCCTAACTGTTCTCACCATCTTTAGTTTTCCCTCCAACTTATACAATAAAGCTTCGTAAATTTAATTTTTAAAACAGGCCTAGAGTTCATGATCCGTCTATTCTCTGAGGACTTTTAAATGTCACTGTCCACAGAATTTCTCCCTTTTTCTATTTAGTAGTTGATAGTTGCTTGCTTTCTTTAAGCCATCACCCTTTTTACCATTTTAATCTATTTATCCTTACTTCCTCTTCAAAAGTTAGTTTGGCCTCAATATCCAAGCTGACCCAAATCCCCTCATCTGTGTCCCAAAGTGCATATCATATATTATTAGAATTATCTATTTGTATCTGTTTCTCTTTCTTAACTATAAATATAAAGGCAGGGCCTATGACTTTTGTATCTTTTTATCTCCAGTATAAAGTGATACACAATATCAAGCAAAGGTACACAATTCATTTTAGTTCATTGGATGAAATTATGTATACTATGTCCTTTCCCCAACACCAAATCAAGAAGTGACATGTAATTTAACACCTGGTCTAACAAGTATCCAGGAATGCTCACACCGCTGCTCTGCAATGAATGGTGTGGATGATGATGATGATGATGATGATGATGATGATGATGATGTTGGCCATGACAGCAACCGTGATCATTATTCCAATTTTACACTGTGACAACAGAAAACACTACAGGTACATTCCCAAGACCTTACTTAATTGTTGACAACTAAAAAGATCCTGATTACATCACATAGAAAGGATTCAGGGCAAATTTTGAGATTCAGTGCAAGTTTTCACACTCTCACGCCACCATCTTCAAACTGGTATCAAATCTTAATATGGCTCTTGCACCACAGAAAAGCCCATTGGTGTTCTTAGGCTATAGAATGCCATGTGATCCTAAGAAGCTATGCGTATTCATTCCTTCCTCCAATCAATCTGCTTTACCTTTTCCTACACAGCAGAAATTAAATTCAAATGTTATATGTGAAAGTAAGCAAAAATTAACTTAATGGTACAGTATGAAATAGGCTGCTTATTTCAAATTTCTAATTTTCAGGAGTTACAAGTCAATTCATTGTAAAAGGAGCTTTTCAGACACCCCAATGCAAATAAACCTCCTGCAGTAGCAAAGTACAGAGCACTAAAGAAGCTGGAGAGTGAACCCCCAAGGCTGGCCTAATGAGAATGGCACTAAAATAAATCGGTTGCTAATCAGAGATGAAATAAATAACTTTCCATACTGTTTAATACAAATGCAGGAAGGACTTTGTGCTATAGCATGTTAGCTCAGAGGATAAAGTGGGTAAATGACAACAAACAAAAGAAAAAAGTGTGACCCTTGAATCTTGGGTTACATAAAGACAAAACAGATTCTAACAGCAACAGTATGCCAGATGGAATATGACAGCTATCCTGTTTCAAAGTCAGCATAGTTATCACACAAAATAAAAATAATCTAATAGCATTTACCTCAAGATATTAAGTCACTGCATTAAAGTATAAAGAAGAAAATGTCTCAGTACTTCTAGGCTGCTCACATTCTGAACTTTTTTAAACGTAAAGTTCATTATCGTTCCTATTTACGAGTGTGAGATCCTAGAGCCCTTCCTTTACAGTTTTTTTTCCATGTTATACCCCCATAGACACCTAATTCAACACCCAAAATGCTGACACAGTGACATATCAAATCAGTACTTTTGTCAGCCAAATATCTAGATGGAATTCAGGTAGATCAATACTGTGAGTCATTTGGACTTAGAATTTCTCTGTGCTTAAGATAATACTGTATTACATAATACATAAAAGTAATCCTTCAGGGCACTTGCCTTCTGAGAACAGAGGCCCCATGTTTGTTCTAGCTACATGAAGTTATCTGAGGCTTAACCCTGCTTTCAGAAGAACCACCTACTATGGATTCCTCTTTATTCAAAGACCTGCTCTTCCAGGTATATCTAGGGAGCAAATATTGTAACCAGAACTTACAAAAGCTGGGGTCTGGGATGGCGATTTTACTATTCTAGAATTGATTGGTCAACCAGTTACCCCACTGGCTACTCTTGCTCCCAGCCCTGTTATATTTGAAATAAAGTTAGGACCAAAACAGCTGTAATGTTCCCCTCAACTTGTCTAAACATTTAGATAGGCTTCTTTCTGAATGTAGGTCTCTGACCTCCCTTTTCTTAGAGCATTTACTTTATAAACCTTTTAATTGGAAATTATTTCTCTGCCTCTTGAGATGTAAATGTTCTCCCAGCCTCTTGCCAGATTCACAACCCAAGAATATCTTTTTCAAGGATTTAAGAGCCATCCCTTTGATATGTAATCTTGGAAGGAGATCCTGCCCCTCCGTCCCAGTCTCTGAGAGGGCAGGAGCCTAACTTTGATATGTGTGCCAATTAGCAAACACAGATGGCCTAATCACATTGACCAACCTACCCCCTACTCTCTCCCAGTACTTTTACACACGCGCACACACACACACACACACACACACAATCTGAGTTCTGTGTGTGCATGTTGTCTCAGCAGAACTGAGTTCAATTTCTCTATCCTATTGCAATCGTCTTGAATTAAGGTTTTCTTGTATATCTCTGGTGAAATTTTTCTTTGACAGTCCCCTCTTTTGCAGATATAGAGTTATATTTCTAACTTTTATTATTGTTTTATCAAAAACAAAACTTATTTGCCTTATGTATTCCATAATTATTTCAATATTTTATCTGCCTAAGGTGCCTGTGGAAGAAACTGCATGCTTCCCTTCAATATTCTCTGATTTTTTTTCCTTCTAAATAACAGGAATTCCTATATTTATTGGGACATTTAGCCATCTGAAGTAAAGACTTAATGTTTTACTTCTCTTAGCGTTAAGTATGTAAATGTGACTTAAGTTCTGGCCAATGAAATATGTGAAGTAATATGTGAAATGCTGAGAAGTGTTCTTTAATGGGGCGGGGCAGGGGGTATTTTTTCCTTCATTTCTTTTACCCTGCTATTTGCTGCAATGCAGCTAGGATTGCTGGAGTTTCGCTATCTTAAACACAGTGAGAATGGCAGGACATGCAGTTAGAAGCCTGGGTTACTGACCACCATGAGGCTGCCATACTAGTCAGGACTGCTTATATTTACGGGTGAAACAATGCTATTTTGTTTTAACCGCCTGGTTGTATTTGCTTGTTTGTTTTATGTCTCCCACAGGTGGATTTCATCCTAACTAATATTGGTACACCCACTAGTTTTCCAGCCTTCTTATCAAGTAGTTCTTATACCTCTTTGATAATGGCAATGGGATTTTAGTAGGAAGAAAGAGATGCATACCTTTGCTTAGTTTTAAATTTTGTAATGGAGGTACTGTTAGAATTTTGACAGGACTGATGTAAACATCTATACTGATGATTTGAATATTTATTATATTTAATCTGCCCTCTCTATTAAGATTTTTCTCCATTTATTAAAGTCTTTATAGCAATATTGTAGTTTTCTTCAGACAGGTTTTGCATTATACTTGTGGAGGTTATTCCTAGGACTGTTATGCTTTTATTCTATAGTTTAATGAATTATCTTTTCCATAACATCCTTTATTTCATTACTGATAATATATAAAATAATTCCTTTATTGGTATATCTCCATTAGTTTAATTTTTAATTTTTAAAAAATTTTAACTTCTCTTAACTTTCCAATTTGTATATCTTTTTTTAGTTTTTAGTTTTTAATTGCTGTGGATACATAATAGGTATATATATTTATGGGGTACATGTGATGTTTTTATACAAGTATACAATGCGTAATGATGAAATCAGAGTAACTAGAGTATCACTTTCAGCACTTATCATTTTTTTGTGTTCGGAATATTCCAATTCTACTCTTTTAGTTATTTTAAAATACACAATAAATTATTGTTAACTATAGTCATCCTATTGTACACCAAATACTAGATCATACTCATTTTAACTGCATTTTTGTTCCCATTAAGCATTCCTATTTTTCCCGGCCCGCCCCGACCAACCCTTCCCAATTGGGAAAACACTCCAGGACATTGGTCTGGGCAAAGATTTCTTGAGTAAGACCTGAAAAGCACAGACAACCAAAGCAATGATGGACAAATGAGATAACACCAAGCTAAAAAGCTTCTGCATATCAAAGGAAACAATCACAAAGTGAGATTGAGAATGTTAGGTTGATTTTTTAATACTGTTAGAGTTTTGGTTGATATATTTAATCTAAGATATAGACACGTAAATAAAAACTTTACTTTGTATTTATTTTACCATTAACATCTTATTTATGTTTTTGTCTTATTTTATTGTCCAGAACTTGCACATAAATGGTAAATAGTAACGAAAAGTTTTCTCCTTATGTCTCAGTAGCACTTATTTCATGTTTTATTAACATGTAATCAATGACCATGATGTTCTCTTCTCTGTTAACTTAAAATGAGATCTTAATCATTTATTATTATTCAAGTACTGTTTTTCTAGGACATTTAACTCAAAGGAGTTTTCATGGTATGAACTACATTGTTTTGGCATATATTGAGATGTTGCTATCTGTTATACTTTTCTTATTGGGCCTACTAATGGGATATATACCTAATATTAGGTTATTTTGTTTTTTTTTTTTCTTTTTCTGGAGTGTAGTTGCATCTTGGCTAACCACAACCACCACTTCCCAGGGTCAAGGGCTCCTCCCACCTCTTCCTCCTGAGTAGCTGGGACTACAGGTGTGCACCACACGCATGGCTAATTTTCATATATTTTGTAGAGAAGGTTTTTTGCCATGCTGCCTGGGCTTGTCTCAACCTCTGAGCTCAAGCAATTTGCTCGCCTTGGACTCCAAAAGTGCTGGGATTACAGGCAGGAGCCACTGTGCCAGGCTACTGTATTCTTGATTACTTGTATAAGTCCCATTTAGATGAGATAAAATTGTAAATGTAATTATGATCTAAGTTTCCTAACAATGTGCCCATGACATGTGCATTTATTTCAGAAGTGATTTTGTCATATAACACTTCTTCCTTTATAATATAAGCAATTTTAGTGCTTTCTACCACCCTATCCCAACACAAACACAGAGGAGACTAATTTCATTTGCTAGTTTTGGTAAACATTATCTGAGTTTTAGAATCCTAAATATTATTCAATATTTTTATATTGTATATATTTAATTTCAGATTATTTTTTGTAATTTGCAAAAAATACAAATTGCATAATTTGTATTTTTATAATTATATATGTACTGTATTTTATGTTAAAATGGTTCATTATTAGCACTACTCCTTTAAAAATCACAAGTTCTTCATTCTTAGTTGATGGCACACGTTCCCTACGTTATATGAATAGTATGCTTTTTAAGACTCTATTTCTATATCATCAATATCTAAGTAAAAATTTGACAGATATTTTTTAAACATTCCCTCCCACTCAACCCCCTGGTGAGCTTCCTTTTTGCTTTGCTGGCTTTTCTTTGGCTGTTTAATGTTGGAGAGAAACATCTTAAGGCATATACTATTTTTGTTATCTTAAAGGTAAGCTCTTTTAGTTTCGTTTTCTTTTATTTTGTTTCCTGCTTGAGTTCTTACAGCCATCTAAAACTTATTTTTCAATAGGAACAATTTTTCCAAGACTTACCCAGTATGTCTCTCTTTTCATTAACTTTGCAAGAATCTGGTGAATTCTTTTGTTAGGTTTACACAAGCCTTCATTTCAACACCAGAAAGTTTTCTTTTTAATGTCTTTATTCTTCAGGAAAAAGGGAGCAACATTATTACACTGGTGCTAAAAGCATGATTTTTGGAGTCAGACTATTTTGTTTAAATTCTAGCTTAATTATTTATAATTCTGCAGGCTATGGAAGCTTTCATGACCTCTCCTTGCCTCAGTTTTCTGTGTGTAAGGTGATGATAGTAAACGCTAGTGCAAATGACATAAGATTGTTACAAGGATAAAGAAGTAATCTGTATTATTAAAAAAGAATCTGGCACAGGATAATTGCTCAATAAATGTTAACTGTTATAATCTCCTCACTGTCATCTCTCTTATTTCTTTTTCCTCTTTATTCTGGGGACGCTTCTGAAAGTTTTTCTCTTCTGATTTGATTTTCTCAAGTCACTAGCTTTCTTCAGTAAATCCAATGTGTATTTTACTCAAACTTCTGCGATATTAGTTTTATTGAAATCTTTTCTTATCTTACCTAGATCCCTTTTCATCTAAGCTTGTTGGTTTTATATCTCATCTTCTTATTCTTTTAAGCCAGACTGTTCTTTCCTTATGACAGCATTGTCCTATTTAATAACTTTTTGAATTTGATTTAATATGGAATTTTCCCGCGGATCTACAGTAAACTACATTTTAGAGGTGCTCTTTCTCTTTCAAGATGATGTGTTTTCTCTTCTGCCTTAGTATTGTTTCATGAAAGCCATATTGTCACTGTTGTTTTTAATTTATCAATATTCATTTCCCAATAAAGGAAGTCATGGCTATAATAAGTATTCCTAACCAACAGGATATGGCGATTTCTCTTGGCTCTGACGATTGGCTGAAACCCATATGGATGTATAGGTTTGTAAAACAGACCCTTATTAAATGTAGATCCAGAAGGTAGTGTGATACCTAAAGTTATCGACCCAAAAATTAGGATCTAAAAACTGTTCTGTTTTTGTGGCTCCATGAAAAACAAAGCAACATCTTCTCTCAATAAAAGAACAAGATAAAGCCTGCAGCTTCAAATATGCAAAGTTATGCAATAATCTTTCTGTCTTTGCCATTAGCAAGTGCTTTAATATGTAGGACTATATTTACAAAGGCAGATTTTATCCTTATATTCCACACCCATGTATTTACATGTTGCATAGCTAAAGCTTAATCTTCTCTATTGGTATAGATATTTTAGATGGAATATTCAATACTCTAGTGAGCTAAAAGAAAAACAACAACAAAACAATGAATGCCTGTATGGTAATGGGAAGGCTGCTTAGTTTTCAGGTTCAAATAGAAACTTAGGACCATGTACTAGCTAATAGTGATTTATTAGTTAGCTAATGCCATGTCAAACCCCTCCAAAACACCACACTTTTACTTAACTCACAATTCGGCAGGTTGCTAATCTGGACTAGGCTTAGGCGGGCAGTTCTTCTTTGTTCACCTAGGCTTAATCAGGTTTCCTCTGACAACTGCTGCTTCTGTTGGGATCCAAATGATCTAACTTGGTCTCAGTTAGGACTACTGATTTCTGTTCCACAAGTTATCTCTGTCCTGCAGGCTAGCCAGTGCTTGTTTACAGAATAGTCACAGGGGATTCAGGAGAGCAGTAGAAGTGTGTAATACCTCTTGAGATTCGAGCTTGGAAGTGGCACCATGTCATTTCTGCTGAATAATGGCAAAAGTAAATCACAAAGCCCCAGAGTCAAGGTGTGAGATAATAGACTTCACTTCTTAATGAAAAGAGTGACTGGCTGGGCGTGGTGGCTCATGCCTGTAATCCCAGCACTTTGGGAGGCTGAAGCAGGTATATCACTTGAGTTTAGGAGTTTGAGACCAGCCTGGACAACAAGGTGAAACCCCATCTCTACTAAAAATACAAAAATTTTCCGGGTGTGGGCTCCTCTATTCTCGTCTATTCAAGAGGCTGAGGCAGAAGAATCTCTTGAACCTCGGAAGCTGAGGTTGCAATGAGCCAAGGTCGTGCCACTGTACTACAGCTTGGGTGAAAGAGTGAGACTGTCTCAAAAAACAAAAAAGAAAAGAGCTGCTAAGTCACATTGTCAACGGCATGGATATAGGAAGAGGTTACGGATTGAGGATATTTTACACCCAATCTGTCAGTGGAGAAGCCATAAAATGTTTTCTAACATTTTATTGGAATAAAACAAAATTATCTATTTTTCTCATTCAGTTTTGTCATTCTGAGAGTTATGTTTACCCCCAAAATTTAAGGCACAGATTATTGATGTTACTTTTTCTTATTTTTTATTACCTCCGAAAATGTAAATGGTTTATGTCAAAGATTGATAACAGTATGCAATTTAAAGTCACAAAAAATGCCAATATGCATTTTGTAGAAGAATTATTTCTTTCCATTGTATTGATAGTTTGCTGTAAAAGTTACAGTTTTTGACAATAAATTGAAAGCTTGAAAGAAAAGACTAATAATATGTTGACACAACTGCTAGGTATAGGCTGGTCCAACATTGGATCTGTAGGAATTGATCACAATAAACTCTGATTGGTGAAAGCTGTATGAAATGTCTTAGCCTGATGCTAAATTATCTTGACTTTGAATGAAGTTTCTTGAACTCCTCCTGGTCCTGAACTGGAAATTTTCATGATGTCTAACGTCTAGAGAAGAATTGCTAGAATATGTTGTGGTCTCATCATCTTTTAACAAACCAGTTTTGAACAGGTAGTGATCAGAAATTGAGAATAGAAAAGTAAAATTGACCAAAGAATATATCTCAGAAACTCAAAGTAGAAAGGACAAGTATGTTGACCTTAGTCACATCTGAGTACTTCTCATTACCAATTGTGACTTTTGGCAAGTTAATTGACAACCAATTCCAGATTTGAAAATGCTGTCCTGAGTATTAATGAGATTTTTATATCAGGTGCTTAGTACAATGTCTGGATCATAGTATGTATTTTCCAAAAAATAACTCTTCTTATTTAGAGCATTGCCTTGATTAGGACTTCCTGGAGTTAGCACAGTGAATTATAAAATTATGACCATATCTTTGCTCTAGGTTTTTTGCCTCCATATTCCGTGTTAGTTGTTTTAATCATTCAGTCCAACAGTTAAGAGTGGCAATACTTTTCAGATTCAGGTACTCACAGAAGTTTTTTCAAATAAAAATTGACATGAAAATTTACATTTTCACAAGAACTGAAAATGTCTAATTTTTTAAGTGTTTATATATTAAGAAGAGAATCAAGAGGGAGTTGCTATTACAAAGAGTTAATAAAACTCTAAGACAATCAGCTTGCATTATGTATTTCAGTTTCTAATTTTACTTCACAAAATTATAAGTGTACAACACCCAGACACTAAATACTCAATTAATTTATTAGTGATTGGGTGTTTTAATTAAGATGATTAAGTTTTAGTTTGGTATTAATACATGGGTAATACCTAAGCAATAATGATTAAAGTTTGAGTGAGAGGTTAGTGAAATTCCTGTGGGAAAGCAAAACAATAGAGTGCTTAGCTTAAAAAAAAATCCCCAAAACTAAAAAAACCCGAGTGAGTAATGTTTACCAGTCAGCAAAAGTGTAACAAAAATTATATTCCTCAGGGTGAAACTGTCTTCAGTTCAGTGAGTTTACAGTTCCATTATTACAAACCACTTTTAAAATGAGTGTTATTGAACTGATGCTGATTTAAGACCTTATATACCAATTTTGGTTTAACAACAACAACAAAAAAGACAAGTCAGTTAAGGACAAAATTTGAGGCAATGTCACAGTGACACTTCACTTTCATGGAGGTTAGATTTATGGCAACCTCACTCATCCAGAACACAGCTCTAATGAAGGCTTGGTGAAGCAAGCCTCTGTATGGCCACGTGTCTCTGAGGAGTCACCAGCATTACTCTCTAGGGGACATGGGCTAACCCTAAGTTCTTAACCAGGCACTGGGGTGTTTGGTAAGACTCCACCAAATTAGACACAGTGCAATAGGCTGACAGTAGCAAAAGAAGTTAGAAGGGTTAGAAACATAAAGCCACTGCAAATAGTGAGCACTAAAGCTATCATAAAAATACCTGATGTTTTGAAGAAAGCACTTGCTTATGGGCTATGTATTCTATTTAAAAAAGCAAGAAAATATGAAAACAGTCACATTGTGCATGCTTTAAATATTCAACTTTCAAAATAATGATTTAGAATATACTTTTGGGGTAACTGAAAAAATGTTGTTTTACATATGTAGGACTTTTAATTTTTGAAGAATCTAAAGATATTTAGTCAAGCAAACTTTTTGTATGCTTCCATGAAATTTATTTATCCTAACTTTTTTGGAGGGGAAATGTTGCATGAAATTAACACCACAACCCAATGCTCAAAGAGATCTGAGAGGCTCGAATGGGACTGCTATTCAGTGGAGCCAGTGTCATAAAGAAAAGTAGTTAAAGACTTCTTCCTCAAACACCAAGTCCTGACATGGGCTCTGTGCCTCTTCTATTTGCTCTGTTATCTCTTTCCCTTCTTACTAACTCTCCCACCCATACTTCACCTCTCTTCCTAGCCATGTGTTCTGTCTGCTGTGGGCAATTTCTTTTCCATTATCCGTGATAGCTCCCTGTAATGAAGCTTCATTCTTCCTGCTAGCATCCCCACTAAATGCACCCTAACAGCAAAATGAATTCCACTGGCTTTAAAGACCTAAATATAAGAAATACAATAAAATCATAATGGCACAGAAAGACCATATAGACATTAAAAATCTTGAAACAGAAGAAAACTTGAAACTAGTAACAAAATCAGAAGCTAAAGAACTAATAAATTTGACTAAATAAAAACTTTAATTTCTGTTTTGAACATTTATGACAGAGGGAATCAATATAAATTAACCAAAAAGCCAATGAAAAAATAACCAAAGGTCAGAACACAGAAAAGGAATATGGATATGTTACAAACAAAAGATTGCTCATCCCTACTCCAAATTTAAATATTTTCATGTTTTACGTATCTGGCAAAATTTTAAAAAATGATTATGGTGAGGTTTTAGGTTTTTGCTCTCTTATGTTGTAGATGGTGATAGGAATTGAACTGACACCCTTTTTTTGAAATTTGGTTAATTGCCAATATTGATTTTGTGTTTAAAAGCATATATCTTTCCACTTTTGAAAGTTTATCCTGCAGATACACTTGCATATATATTCAAATATATAGTGGGTGATATTTTAATCACAGCATTTTTTTTTCCTAGCACACAACTGCAACCAACAAATCCATCATCATAGGAATGTAAACAAATTATGTCACATCCATAAAATTAAATATCATGTAGCTGTTAAAAAGAGAGAAGTAGATTTTTGTGTACTGATATGAAAAGTCTCCAGTAATTATTGTTAAAAAAGAACATCAAAGAACACACTGTTCATGGCATCTTCTGATTTAGGAAAACAAGAGGCTATATATATAAATAAGTGTATATATGAATAGACAACATTAGGAAGGGTATATAAGAAATAATTTTGGGGAATAGAGATAGAGTTCTGAGGTGGGAGAGAGAATCACTTCTAATGTGTAGTCTTTTGGGTAATTAAAATGATTTACATATATGATTTACATAATAATGAAAGAACAATATAAAGACTATCCTGATTGCTATGTAGACAACACATTTGAGGAGGTGTAATAGAAGGGAGACCAGTTGGGGGGCCATTGCAGTATCCCAAGTACTGATGATGTTATAGCAGCTAGGGAGATAATGGAAGTGAAGAAGATGAATATGCTGGAAGTATATATTAATGTTACAATACATAGCACTTGCTGATAGATAGAATTTTGGTGACTAGGATGCAAGGAATTAAGAATTGTTTGGGGATTCTGACCTGAGCAATTGAATACATAATGGTGCTATTTACAAAAATGAGATGAGTATGGGAGGGGGCAGTGTTATAGGAGAAGCTTAGACAATCCCACCTGAGGAGGTTGTATTTGGAGATTTGCCATGGTTTAGCTCTTCTTTCTCTTTGGAAGAGAGAATTGATAAATGCTGTTCATTGCCCTAGCAGGGGATACCGCAGGCATTGACAACACTTTGCAAAAGATAATTTATATCTGAATTAACAAAACAAGAAAATGAGAGCATTCTACAGTACTAATATATCTTCCACTGGCTGAAAAAATGTATGCTTCCTCATGTGTGATGTTTCTATTAGAGAATCAGTAATTTTTCTCAGTGCTTTCAAAGAGAGCAAAAGGTTCTAATTGATTCATCATTGTCTACCAACTAGGCTATGACAGGGCAATGGCATCAGGGTCAGGAATAGTTTCTCTTTGAAGCAGGTACCAGCTTATTACAGAGCTTGGCCAAGGAAACCACACTATACTTTGCCCATCTAAGATGGAATAGATTAATCTTATAAGGGACAATTAAAATGAAACAAAATACCATAAGAATTTGGGGCTGAAAAATCAGTGCGACTAACATAGAATAATTTCATAGAATGAAATAAAAATGGAAAATAAAAATAATTTGTTGAAAAATCCTGGAGTGATTAATGCTACATCACTTCATTGCTTTAAAGTAATCAATCTTTTTTTTAATCTCTAGAAGGGAAAAGATAGTTATCCCTCTAGGTAATCTTTGAAAGATACCTAAAACCAACCAACCGACTATTTCACAAACAAACCAAAAAAATAGAAAGTGTTCTAATTGTAATTATATTTCTGTTAATAATAAGCATCCTAGTGAAGGTGTCAGGTTAGCAAATTGATACATTAGATGTATACATATACTTGATATACATATATTGTCAGTCAAATGATTTTTAGGATACCACATTATTTTCCTTAATTTTTGACACTACTATATTTCTTGCTATTTGAAATTCTGAAATTGCATTGTTTTTAATCTTTAAATTATATGGTTACCTCTAAAAGGTCTCTGTGATATTTTTATATTTTTAATACTGCTAACTCTTTAATACATTCAAAAGTATATATATGCAAGATATGAGCAAGGTATTATCTTTAGGACATATTACAACAAACATATTTTGACTTTGTAGTAAAAAAAAGGACAATTCCTATTTTTTAAAAAGCTCTGTTATAATTCTTTACAAAGGTCCAAAAGAAAACATACTTTACTGAATATCAACATACTTTAAGTAAATTTTTTCTTAGACAATTAATTTAACATTCTATTTATGTAGTTGGTTGGATAATTGGATAATGGCTGAAAAACACAAAATGCAGCCTTAGTATTTATCGTAATTCTGGCGTAGACATATTTTTACAATTTTATTTTCAATTCAACCATTTTTAAAATGAATAATGGTGCTATTTATATGCACTACTCTGTTTTTGGTTCACTGCAGCAAAGTATCTACTTCTCATTTTAGTGTAGTTGTGAATTTTCTTCAAGATGACTTTCACATGTGTCATCACATGTGTCATGGTGTATATACTTATATACTCAACTTTTTCTGAAATACAGTACCAATCAGTACTAGGTAAGAAGATAATGATGAAGATTGCCGGGGGTGGGGGGAATGGGCAATTTCTCCTTCTGCAGACCTAGCAGTTAAAGATTTATTTGGGGTATTGAGAGGTGAACGAAAGCACCTACGTCTAATCTAACTACACATTATTAAAAATTAAAAGTGGAGAAATCAACACAATGAAATTCACATAATTGCTGATACTTAATGAAAATGAAAGATTTATATGCGCTGATATATAAAGCTAAGATATTGAAAAACCAAGTGACAGATTGATATGTGAGGGATTATAGAACTTGTAATAGCTGATAAAGAATATATTTGTTAAGCATATGCAACATTTGTTTAACTTTTAAAGCATAATAATAAAACAATGAGTCTAATGACTTAATAAACAGAACATCAGTAGCACTGGTTTAGTCTCTTCAGCCCCAGTCCTCTGCCTCACACTCCTCAACAAAGCATTCCCTATTTTTGAATTTCAGTTTGCTTTCCTTTATATCTTTTGTTTTGATCCCCAACTGAAACAGCATAGTTGTTAATTTTATTTGTGTTTATAACTTATAAAAAATGGTGTATGTACACTGTATTATTCATTTATGACTTCCTTATTTTCAATTAACAACATTCCTAAGATTTAACCATGTTGATATGTTTATCTCTAGGTCGCTCAGTTGAATTACTCTATAATATTGTGTTAACATACTACTTTTCTTTACCAGTGTGAACAGAAAATAGAGTTGTTTCAGTTTTTAGCAGTTATGAACAATTACTTTATAAACATTCTTCTGCATATTTCCTGGTGGCTAAGTACAAGAGCAAGAAGTAAAATTTCCAGGTATATAAGATACTGTTACTCTTTATTCTTATCAACACTTCTTATTGTTAAGTTTCAACATTTTTGCCCATCTAGTATTTAACAGGCTTTATTGTGGCTTCAGTTTGTGTTTTTCATACACAGCCAATTTTTCTATTGAGTTGTCCTACACATTTGTATCTGATTTTTGTATTATCTGGGAAATAATCATTTGTCATTTTTGTATGTTACAAATATGTCCTACCAATTGTGGCTTGTTTTTCAATATGCTTTAAAAGGTTTTTTTGGGAAACAGACATTCTCATTTGTAGCATAATTAAATTTACTGATTTTAAAAATTTATGTTAAAGATTTAGGGTTTCTTTTATTATGAAGTTATAGAGAGAGCCTCTTATATGTTCTTTGGAAAATTTAAATGTTTCCTTTTCTTTTTGTGAAGTCAGAGAAAGAGTGTCATATGTATTCTCTAAACTTTAAAACTTTACCTTTTTAAATTGCTAACTTAATTCAATTGAAATTGATTTTTGTTTGGTGGGATCAAATTTTGTATTTTGTGGGTTTTTTTTGCATTAAACTAAACACTTTATCCACCTCATTTTGTAAATCATGTATGTCCGTCTGTTGTTCCATTGTTCTGTTTCTATTCCTGTGCTGATACTAAATATTCCCTATTCTTATTTTATTTTATTTATTTATTTTTTTGAGACAGAGTCTCACTGCAACTCCCACGCTGGAGTGCAATGGCGTGATCTCAGCTCACTGCAACCTCTGTGTCCTGGTTTCAAGCGATTCTCCTGCCTCAGCCTCCCGAGTAGCTGGGATTACAGGCATGCGCCATCATGCCTGGATAATAGGCCCTCACACCTGGCCTATATATTCCCTATTACTTTAAGTTTTGTAATATATTTTATTATCTAGGAAGGCAATTCACTCTACTAGTTTTGTTTTGCTTTGTTTTGTTTTTTCTTCTCCAAAAGATATAGAAACCCATAGGGATTTTGAGCCTACGTGTGTCTTTGCACATGAGGTGGGTCTCCTGAATACAGCATACCAATGGGTCTTGACTCTATACAATTTGCCAGTCTGTGTCTTTTAATTGGGGCATTTAGCCTGTTTACATTTAAGGTTATTTTGTTATGTGTGAATTTGGTCCTGTCATTATGATGCTAGCTGGTTATTTTGCCTGTTAGTTGATGTAGTTTCTTCATAGTGTTGATGGTCTTTACAATTTGGTATGTTTTTGCAGTGGCTGGTACTAGTTTTTCCTTTCCAAATTTAGTGCTTCCTTCAGGAGCTCTTGTAAGTCAGCCTGGTGGTGACAAAATCTCTCAGCATTTGCTTGTCTGTAATGGATTTTATTTCTCCTTCACTTATGAAGCTTAGTTTGGCTGGATATGTAATTCTGGGTTGAAAATTCTTTTCTTTAAGAATGTCGAATATTGGCCCCCACTCTCTTCTGACTTGTAGGGTTTCTGCAGAGAGATCCACTGTTAGTCTGATGTGCTTCCTTTAGGGATTTTGACTGGAATTGTATTAAATATATATGTAATCATATGTGTATTAATATTATGTACAAGTAAAGTAGGGTAGAATAAACAGCTTAATAGTATAAATCTCCTTATTCAAGATATCAATTTAAGTCTTTTAAATATATTTCAATAAGGTTTTATAATCTTACACATGTTGTATTTTTATACTCATTTATAGGTATCTTGCATATTTATAAATTATATTTTCTAAAACTTTGGTATTAATATGTAGAAATGCAATTTGTTTTCACATATTGATTTTCACCAGACTAAAATATCTTATTCATTCCCTTAATGTTTTTGTATTTTCTTTTCGGTTTTCTATGAGGGTAATCTATGAATTTTGTTTTTCTTCTAAGCAAATCTACAAAACTTCCATTAATTTATTTTATCTTACTGCACTAACTAGAAAGTTCATTACCATGATGAATGGAAGTGGTAAAAAGCTTAACATTTCTCAGTTGCTTACTATGTGTCTCTTTATTCTGCTTTTTGCACATCAGGTCCCTTCTGCTCCTAGTTTGCTAAATCTTTGTATCATGATTAGATGTTAAATTTTATTGAATGTCTTTAGTATTTATTGAGACGGTCACACATGTTAAGTTTTAATTTAAGTTTAATTTCTATTTTCTGATCGACTTCTTTATTTTGCATAAAGTCCATTTTTCCTTTAACGTCATTGTTGGTTAAAGTAATCATCTGCAATCTAATCTTTCTTGGGATAAATCTGTCCTCAGTGTTTTTTTCCCCACCTTTTTTTCTAAAATTCTTTTTAACTAACTATATAGTCTCTATGTTTTTCCCTTTATGGAGTGTTTGTATAGGCTCATGTATTTTTTTAATTCATCAATTTTGTAAGCTCATAATTCTTTTGAGGACTACTATCCTAAGTTAAGTGGACATACTTTCCTTACAGCTCCTTCTTCCTCTTGTTCATGGGCACCTTTCATTTCTTTCCTTAAATACTAATAGTCTCACAGATACTAGATTATATTTCAGTGCATTACCAGTCCTCTTAATCTAGCTGGGTAGGCTGAGCTGTGGTCATGGTTATTTGCAGCTTGGAAACTCTACTTGCATGCTTTCTATTTTTGTGCAGTTTGAGAAGTCCCTTTTCCTCATGGCAAAGTGACTTTATTTTCTTCCTTCCAACTACAACCATGTTTGCATGTTAAGTTATTAAACCTTCAAGTCTTTCTGGCTTTTTGGTTAAGTGTATTTCCTTGTATGTAGACACTTGTTGCCATTTGGTAGGATTTCAGGTACTGGCTGCCTCCAGACTCCTTTCTGTTCTCACAACTAACTCTTGCTCCCAGACTTATCCCTCCGGATCACGTTTCTGCTTATGACCCAGTGATTTAGAGTAAATGTGCATCAAGAAATTGTTTCCCAGATCCCAGCGTATAACCTTTAAGTGACGGTCCACAGGTATTCACTTTCAGGTCTATACGCTATGGCCCTGCTTACTTAATCTGCTCTACTCCCTCCATTCATTTATTCATTCATTCATAGACAGGGTTTCACTCCCCTTGACCTGCCTGAGTGCAGTAGTGTGATCTCAGCTCACTGCAACCTGTGTCTCCTGGGTCAAGCCATTCTTCTGCATCAGCTTCCGGAGTAGGTGGGAATACAGGCCCGCGCCACCACGCCGGGCTAATTTTTCTGTTTAGTAGAGACGGGTTTCGTCATTTTGCCCAGGCTGGTCTCAAACTCCTGGGCCCAAGCAATCTGTCTGCTGTCTGCCTCTCAGCCTCCCACAGTGCTGGGATTACAGGCGCGAGCCACCACGCCTGGCCGTTTTTTTTTTTTTTTTTTTTTTACAAATCAGCTACATTGATCTTAGTGACCTTCGAATTTGCCAAGTATGATCACATTAAGAATTTTGTACAAATTTTTCTTTCATCCTGGAGTGGGGTAACTATCCTTCTTTTCTTCAGTCAGATGTCAGCCCAGAATTCCAGTTTAAAGAAAAACTTTGCTGACCATTCTATTTAAAGCCTTAATCCCTGTCACTCCTACTTATATTGTGACATTAGTACGGTGTCTTTGTTATGTTTGAGTTGTCTACAAGTACCGAACTTAGACTCATTGAGAATGACAGCCTGATCATGTTCATTGTTGTATCCATGGAGCTAAGCACAGTGCCTGGCCATCGTAAGTGTTCAATCCCTATTTGTTGACTGAATAAATGAAAAAAAAAAAGTTTGAATGCCTAGTGGCGACTATCTGGCAGCTGGAAGCTGGAACAACAATGCCACAAAGAGCTCTGAACGTGATTTCAGCTGTTTTCTTCAAGTTCTGTATCTCTAGCCTGCTATTGATCTTCCAGAACATCCCATAAAGCATGCACCTGGCAACCTGGTCACACCTACAACCTTCAGCCCTCCAAATTGGTGACTGGTAATGGGATTTTTCACAACTCTCTGTTGATTTCACTCAAATCTATATTGCTCTGGGGGAAAAGCAGAAATATCTGTAAACAGGAAGCGTCCTCTTTTGGTTTAGTCCAAATTAAATCTGCATATATTCTTTGAAATAAGTTTGCGATTGGTGCTAACCCGTCTTTCAAGTTCTGATAGGGTTGTCTTTTTAATATTGTGCTTATTTGCATTTAATCTGAAATGGCTGGGTGGTGGAGTATGCATAAGTCTGTACTTAAAGACATATATAATATAATTGGGAGAAACTTTCAACCTCTATTCTAGATTATCTGTATTTTGATAGAATCAGAACCAATTACAAATGCACACTTATCATGTTCTATTTCTTTTTTTTTTTTTCTTGAGACGGAGTCTCGCTCTGTCACCCAGGCAGTGGTGTGATCCGGGTTCACGCCATTCTCCTGCCTCAGCTTCCCAAGTAGTTGGGACTATGTGCGCCTGCCACCACGCCCGGCTAATTTTTTGTATTTTCAGTAGAGACATGGTTTCACCGTGTTAGCCAGGATGGTCTCTATCTCCTGAACTCGTGATCTGTGTGCCTTATTACCTGGCCAGGCGCGGTGGCTCACCCCTGTAATCCCATCACTTTGGGAGGCCGAGGCGGGCGGATCACGAGGTCAGAGATTGAGACCATCCTGACTAACACGGTGAAACCCTGTGTCTACTAAAAAAATAAAATAAAATAAAAAAATAGCTGGGCGTGGTGGCGGGCACCTATAGTCCCAGCTACTTGGGAGGTTGAGGCAGGAGAATTGCTTGACTCCAGGGGGCAGAGGTAGCAGTGAGCTGAGATCGCACCTTTGCACTTCAGCCTGGATGACAGAGCGAGACTCCATCTCAAAAAAAAAAAAAGCTTATTGCCTTAAGAGATACATTCCAATCACACTACTGTTATAGCTTCTTATCTCTCTAATACAGCATTGCCCTGAAAATGCCTATACATCCCTGAGATAATCAGGATATAGGTATTTTCTTTCCTTCTGAATATTTTAAGGTTTGGTCTTTAGATACCCCTTGAACTTGTTTTGTGTTGACTTCGAGATTGACAGTTTGATTACTAGGCTGAAGATCTGTTATTGGCTAAGTGCTAAGTTTCTAGAAATAACTAAGCACTCAACCAATATAATTTTGTACCCTTGAAAGATACCTTCTATAATTAGGTATAAGTCAACTGTATTCTTCAAAAGTCATCCTTCCTCTTTGCTATCTTCCAAAATAAATGGGTTAAAATTAGAAAATCTGTTTACATTTTCTTCATCTCTGTCCATCAATTCCAATGAGTTCCATCATAGTTCAAATTTAATCTATGCATAAACACTTAATCTAAATCATGTAATAATTCTAATTATCAAATCTAGAATCAATGAGGGATACTGCTACTCTGAACTTAAATTGGAGTCATGAGGAAGAAGAATTTACTGAACAGGAAATTGTAGAATATTCAGAGACTGAACAAGCCACACTATTGTTCTAATATCAATAAAAGGAAAGACGGTAATGCTAGACATGTAACAAGGCTTTCAAAAAGTCAGTAATGGTGAAAGCATATGTGTGATTATATGCAGTATTCAAGGTCCTGAAATACTGAAATAAAATTGGTTCATGAAAAATAATACTTCCTTGCCATAGAAAATAGGAAGTCAGATACACTCCTCTATGATAATGTAATTTTATTGTCAAAACCTAGACATGGCCTCATTAGTCTAGGTTCATTTCTATTATTGTCACAAGAGTGGATTAACATCAGCTAGTCTCAAAATAGAATTAATTTGGAATATATTCTGCAAAATGTCAAAAAGTTATATAAATCAAGCCAAAAAATTTAGTGCTCATGAAAATATATGACAGCTAATTTATTGATGCAGTTTTTCTCAGGATCTGTGTAAATCAAAACAATATATTCTATGGTAGCATTTTTGAAATCATTCTATGACCATGGCTGTCACCTATTAATACATAGAATACATAGAAATTCTCCAAATTCATCTTGTCCACAGATAGAGCATTGAGAACTTGTTAAAATCATTCACGTATTGAACAAAACACAAACTCTCTCCTAATGCTTGTCCCCCAAATAAAAATAATGTGATTTTTACAGATAGCTTTGTGAAACACAGTTGCAATTTCCACAGGTGTATTGAACACATCATCCTCAACAAATTTGTAGCATTATATATATGAACATATAGTGGTATCCAAAGACAGTCTGATAACCCAGTTTCAAATAATTCCAATGAGAAAATTAATTTGGCTTTACAAAGAAGTACTCATTATCAAGGCCACCCATGCTAATGTTACCTAAACCTGTAAGATAAACCTAAACCTGTAAGATAAAAGCACAGAAAGAACTGAGATTTATAAAACTATCCATAGCGCAGGAGACTTTATTTTCTACATTTAGTGAAAGAAGAAAGAAGTAAAAGGACTGGCCCTAGTCATTGGGCAGATAAGATAATGTCCATAGAATCCAGAAAGAAAGTATAATTATACAACTCTTACCTTTCAAGGAGAACGAGTTGCAAAATGGAAAGTTTATCTTGTACACCATAAAGTAGAATTGAAGTATCAAATATATCTCAAGGAACTGAAACAACATGCAGATGTAAATAACTAAAAATTTGAATAATCAAGGAGGATGGAGAAACAAAGTGTTTGGATAGGCTCAAAAATTCTAATGCAATCCTAGGCTAAAATTCTGAGCAAATAGCATCTAGTCTAATCCATACTTTTAAGATCACATTTGAAAAAGTTTGGTTCTGGGCTAAAACTAAATACTAAATGATGAAATATATCAAGTCTAGAGAAAGAGTATGAAACATTCAGAAATCATATAATTTAAAATAGAAACTATTGAAATTTGACTTGAAAATATTTAGTAAAGGCCTAATTATCTTTTAGAAATCTTAAGAGGGGCATGTAGAAGGTAATTATACTATGTCAAAGAAGCTGTAGTGGGAGAGTTCAGCATTATAGCTCTTACAGCAGTTGAAAATGTAATTGGATGCCTTATGAGATAGTAAATTCCACTATCTCAAGTCTTTAAACAGAACCTGAATGACCACCTGTCAAAGATATCTTAAAGAACATTTCTGAATTAAGCAGAAAGTTTATGTAACTGCTAAATGTTCCTTTAATTAATGAATATCATTTGCAGCATCTTTATTATCTTTGGAATAAAATATCAAGATCATATATTAATAATATGTTTTCTAATCACATTTTTAGAAGCTTTTTAATAATGAAATTATTCATTCTTATTAAGAAAAATGTACTTTATAATGTCTGACATATATGACAATGATCATTCTGCCTTTTTATTTCATGTAACAGAATTTTGGAGTTGTAAATTCTTGAGATATTCTTATTTTAATAAGAAACTTCTTTGGGTCCAATCCAAGGAAAAAATTAAACTGTTTACTGTAATTAGGAACCCTAAAAACACACTACTAAAATATTTCACTGCCTAAAAGTTCAAATTTTTCTTGATAATTTGGGATACCAAAAGGTCATGCCCTGGTTGCTTAAAAACATAGAAATAATGCCCAGTTTTTAACATTGTTAGAAGGATTAGTCTAGTTTGGTCAGCCAAAAACTCTCTCTCTCTCTCTCTCTCTTTCTCTCTTTCTCTCTGTCTCTCCTCCCTCTCCTCTCTTTCTGAGATAGGGTCTCGCTCTGTCATTCAGGCTGGAGTGCTGTGAAATGATCATAGCTTACTGTAACCTCGAACTCCTGGGCTCCAGCAAATCTCCTGCCTTAGACTCCTGCTACAGGCACATGCCACCATGCCTGGCTAATTTTTTTCATTTTCTGTAGAGGTGAGGACTTGTTATGTTGCCCAGGTTGGTCTCAAATTCCTGGGCTCTTGCAATCCTCCCAACTCAACCAAAATCTTTACTAATACATTTTCACTACTACAAAAACATGCTGCCATCTTCCAACCCTTTTTGTTTGCCTTTTAATTTTCCTGTTAACTTACACATAAAACTTCATATTTGTTTTTGCTTTTGGTAGAATAAAAAATTAAAAAGTACTTATGATTTCTTATACATTGAATAGCTTTTGCTTTAAATAAATACAGTAAAAGAAACATTAATAACTTGAGATGATTTTATGAAAAAGCCTGCTGTTTTTACTCAGCAAAAAGAATATTTGTAATATATACATTGTGGATTCCCAAAGGGACAGGTAGCATTTTAACACAAGAATGAAGCTTACATCAGCCTGAAGCCAAAACAAATGGATCTCCTTTTTTATTTTTATTTTTTGTAACAGAAAATTTATAGTCAGGGTTGAGGAATAAAGGCCATGACCACATTCCTGTTTACTGTAGCTACTTCCCATACCTCTCTAGAGACCTTTCTATCCACTTGTAAGGGTAAGGTGAAAATGATGGCTGTTGCCTTAGGAAAGACAGCAGGGACATGGCTCTCAGCTTCATTTCCTACGTCTTGGAAGTATCTGACTTCCAGATATGCATTACTGTATTAACACGCAGGTCTTGGAGGAATGGATAGTTTATTTTTCCAGCTAAATTTTATCCTTAGGCGGAGGAATACTAACGAGAAGTATTTATGTCCTGTAGTATATTCAAATTACTGTCTCCCACCACACAGAGAAGCAGCCTGTTGTTCCTTTTTCTCTTTTGTCCTTTTGTCTCTTTTCTTTCTTCTCTTCATTCTTGATTTCTCTACAATCTAAGCAGCTTGTACTCCTATACCAAGGCCTGCAGAATCACATATTTTAGATTACAGTTCACGTTTCAACAACTGTATCAAATTAAATAATTAAGACTGACTTGGCCTGGATTTAATCCCTTCCTTGCTTTGGTTCTTTATTTCTTTGGTGCTCCAGAAACTAGGGCATGATTCACTGGACACGGCAGTATGCAGAGAAAGAAAAGATTGTCAATTGTTGCCCATTATGTCATGTTTTTAGTCTAGAAGTTATACAAATCACACTGTTGCTCTCTCACGTATAAATTACAGTTATTCTAAATGACATAACTGTTGGTAGAAATGTAAGCATGTATTCTTAAATAAAAATATCAAGTAAATAAATTAGGAATGTATATGTCATTATAGATAAAAATAAATGTATTATCTAGTGTAACCCTGGCATTTGCATTTTTAGTTATCGATCATCCTGTGAACAAATACACTGCTTTGGTTTCATCATGAAAAAGATTGTGTGACTGCAGGCAGGTGACTTAACCTCACCTAGATAAGAAAAGAGTATGTTAGTAGATGATCTCTGAGGTATTTTCCAGCTCAAAAATTCTATTATTCTTATGATTTCTAGACTATGCAAATACTATACATGTGCTTAAGGCCGTTTGAGTCAAACTTGTAGATGTGTGACTTCATTCATAACTGCAAATGAAGAAAAATCTAAATCACGTGCTAAAGAAAAACTCCACCATAAATTTATACAGATGGTTCTATTTGTGTACAACACCGTATAAAATAGGTCTAGGGAAAGGCATTTAAAGTAAAATAAAACCCTGTGAATATGAATCTCTAGTTATCATTGCATTATTCTCTAGATTGCAAGAAATGGAGCCTGTGAACTTTAATCACTCCTTTTGTAATTCTAATCAAATAAAACAGCTAGAAAATGCCAATTGGTAAAGTCATCTAGCTCCAGGGGGCACTGCTGTACTGTGCATCAGGTTTGGTTTATTGATGAAGGCTTAAGCAAGATTTCATTAAGGAGTTCTGCAGGTTTCAGATGCAGAAAAAGCACATAAACTATTTATAATCAATTTAAACTTTGAGAAAATTAGGTAACTATGTAAAATATTTATATGCAGTTTTTTGGAAATGAATGTTTCCTTTGTTGGTAAAAGTATCTGTCTTTCTGCAGCAACTAACTATGGTTGTGGATAGGAATATTTTTATTAACTTTTCCAGTCAAGGGCTCATGAAGGACAATGTATGTTTCTGCTATGGAATTATTTAAAGCATTCTGCCCTAATATTCAAAATATAAACAAAAATTGATATACTTAATGCCTGGACACTGCAATCCTTTAATTGGCTTTACCATTGTTATAGTCAGTTAATCTCTGATCAGAAGGGTTTTGTATAATTATGTAAATTCTATCTATGACTTAATGCATCTTTCAAAAAAATCTCAAATATAGCAGCTCAAAATAATCTCAAAAGTGAGTGACCACTTGTATCTTATTAAACTGTGAGAAATGAGTAGTGCTAAGGTGAGAGTCAAGTATGGAAGTCAAAATCAGCACTCTCATATGTTTTAAAAGCATAGTAAAAGAAATACTTTCGAAATGAATTGCATCATTTAAACTATTATATGTGGATTATGAATACCTAACAAATCTGTAAATTTAATTAAAGACCAAATCAGGATAGGCAAGTATTTATAGTAAAGACTGACAGAATTTTTTAAATTTATGTTCAAGTTTAGCTCAATTATCCCTCACTATTAAAGCACTGATAAACATTGACTTGACATTTTCAAACCAAACACAGGTGACTTTCAATGGCTGAAAATCTTTTAAGCAAAGAATTGAAATTCTATTTAGATTAGGGTAATGTCTGGTCATTTCTAGTCCACACATCATAAAAGGCATAATGAACCACCATAAAAATCATCTGGATTTTTCATATTAATTATTGTGCATATATGGCATGATTTTCAATGTAAATGACTTGTTTTAGCAGCAATGTATTAATAGAAGAAGGAAGAGATTCAGGGGAGCAAATATAGAAAGTAAGAAGATTGGAGGGTTTTTTGCAATAATCCTGAACTAAGGCACTGGCCTTGAATATGGAGTAGAGGGGAAATTTTTGAGATATTTTTAGGAGATAAAATTGATGTAACTTACTGACTGCATAAAGGGCAGAGTGGTGAGAGAATGCATTGACTGTGATTATATGTGATGGTGGAGGCTCTAACTGAAAGTGTCTATTCTGATGTCTGGGCAGACACACAAACAAGCACTTCTGAAAAGCAACAGCAAGCAATATGAAATAAAAACATGGAATCATCATATAAATTGGCTTATCAATTTATTTTAATTAGCCAGTAGAAGGACAACTTGAGATTGGATTTGTTCAACTATATATCTTGATTCTGGGGATAATAAACTAATAATCATTCTTAGTTGCAAAGATTTTGGGACAGGGTCTAACATAGATATCCATGCAACAATTCTACAATAAGTTCTCTTTTCTTTGTCTGATGCTTCCAAATTAGAGTCAACCTTTTGCGTATTCTTACAGAAGTCCAACACTTGAAGGAAAGTGAAAACAAAGCCCTATCAGGAGTGAAATATAATCCAATCATTTAATTCTCAGAATTGGTATTAGTTCTAATCTAACAAAGCAACTTAGAATCAACTTAGAATCAATCTCTGGATATGTCAGTGAATGTGTCTTTAGATGACTCCAGCTGCCAGGCTTTAAGTCTTCCAGCTGAGGTTTTTCCTAAACATTCTGGGAGAGAAACAAGCTATTCTTGTGTCCTCTTGGAATTTCTGATCCACAGATTTCTTAAGCATAATTATTGTTTCACACCAGTCCCATTTTAGGGCAATTTTTTGGTAAACCATAATAACTGGAATAGCACCCTAGGTCAAGACACTGCTATCTTATGCCTGAACTACTGAGAGAAAATGTTCTTTCAACTTACTCCACTAGCATTCAATCCTCTGAAAGTCTATTGCTTCTGCATTCAAAAGATACTATGAATCTGATGAATTCTCATTGTTTCATGTTTATGAAAACTATTTCCTGAACTTCAGTTCTGTCTCTTATAGTTTACCAGATGGCAGACAGAATCACATATATTTAACATATATATTACATCATGTCTTGTCACTGCTCAAAACTCTGTTTCCCAGTCATACTGAAATTGAAATTTAAAATCTTTAATGTGGCTATAAATTTCCTAGGAAGCTTTCTGATCTAATATTCTACTACATCTTCCATGTCCACTTCAGCTCCAGTGATAGTGTTACAGGAATATACAATCTTCATTTTCACGTGAATACTTTTATGTTATCTGGTTTCTTTGCCTGAAATATTCCCCCAAATATTGTCCTGGTCAAGTCCTCATATGATTCATATTTTTTTAAAGCACCACTTCTTCAGAGATGCCTTTCTTGTTCTGCCTAACTAACATAGTTAATTAGGCAGGTCAGAATCAATATGCTCTGATTCCTTACTTTGCCTTTCATGTATCCCTTAACTCTAGAAGTTAGACTATATAATTATTAATTTATTAGTTTGTAGCCTGTCTTCTATACTAACATATTAGCTCTGTGATGGCAAAGATTTTAGTTAGTTCACACTGTATTCTCAAAGCTTAGAACATGACTGAACACATATGGGGTACTCTGAAGTATTCTAGAATAAATGATTAGATGACTGACTGAATAAATAAATGATAAACATGCCTAGTGAGAGGTGAACACACGCTTTTCATCTCTAGTCTATTAGAAGTAACTCACAAGCTGGAGGGAAATCCTAGTTCTATCTTATAACAGGGGTATGCTTTTGGATATGCTTCTGTATTAGTCCGTTTTCATGCTGCTGATAAAGACATATCTGAGACTGGGAAGAGAAGGAGGTTTTATTGGATTTACAGTTCCACATGGCTGGGGAGGCCTCAGAATCATGGTGGGAAGTGAAAGGCACTTCTTACATGGTGGTGGCAAGAGAAAATAAGGAAGATGCACAAGCAGAAACCCCTGATAAACCCATCAGATCTCATGAGACTTATTCACTACCACAAGAACAGCATGGGGGGAACCGCCTCCACGATTCAAATTATCCCCACCAAGTCCCTCCCACAATAGGTGGGAATGATGGGAGTACAATTCAAGATCAGATTTGGATGAGGACACAGAGCCAAACCATATCATTCCACCCCTGGCCCCTCCAAATATCATGTCTTTACATTTCAAAACCAATCATGCCTTCCCAACAGTCCCCCAAAGTGTTAACTCATTTCAACATTAACCCAAAAGTCCACAGTCGAAAGTCTCATCTGAGATAAGGCAATTCCCTTCCACTTATGAGCCTGTAAAATCAAAAGCAAGTAAGTTACTTCCTAGGTTCAATGGGGGTACAGGTACTGGGTAAATACAGCCATTCCAAACAGGATAAATTGGCTAAAACAAATGGGTTACAGGGCCTATGCAAGTCCAAAGTCCAGCAGGACAGTCAAATTTTAAAGCTCCCAAATGATCTCTTTGACTCCAGGTCTCACATCCAGGTCATGCTGATATAAGAGGTGGGTTCACAGTCTTGGGCAGCTCTGCCCTTGTGGCTTTGCAAGGTACAGCCTCCCTCCCAGTTGCTTTCATGGGCTGGTGTTGAATGTCTGTGGCTGTAAGCTGTGGTAGGTGGATCTACCATTCTGGGGTCTGGAGGATGACGGCCCTCTTTCCACAGCTCTACTAGGTTGTGCCCCAGTAGGGACTCTGTGTGGGGGCTCCAACCCCACATTTCCCTTCTTCATTGCCCTAGCAGAGGTTCTCGATGAGAGCCCCACCTCTGCAGCAAACTTCTGCCTGGGCATCCAGGCATTTCCATACATCTTCTGAAATCTAGGCAGAGGTTCCCAAACCCCAATTCTTGACTTTTCTGCACCCGCATGCTCAACACAACCTGGAAGCTGCCAAGACTTGAGGCTTGCACCCTCTGAAACCATGGCCCAAGCTCTGTGTTGGCCTCTTTCAGCCATGGCTGAAGCAGAAGGGATGCAGGGCAACAAGTCCCTAGACTGCACACAGCATGGCTACCCTGGGACCTGCCCACAAAACCATTTTTTCCTATTAGACCTCTGGGCCTGTGATGGGAGAGGCTGCTGCAAAGATCTCTGACATGTCCTGGAGATACCTTCCCCATTGTCTTGGAGATTAACATTCAGCTCCTTGTCACTTATGCAAATACCTGCAGCCAGCTTGAATTTCTCCTCTGAAAATGGGATTTTATTTTCTATCCCATTGTCATGGTGCAAAGTTTGTGAACTTTTATGCTCTGCTTCCCTTTTAAAACTGAATTCCTTTAACAACACCAAAATCACCTCTTGAATGCTTTATCACTTAGAAATTTCTTCCAAATCACCTCTTGAATGCTTTACCACTTAGAAATTTCTTCCAAATCACCTCTTGAATGCTTTACCACTTAGAAATTTCTTCCACCAGATACCCTAAATCATCTCTCTCAAGTTCAAAGTTCCACAAATCTCTAGGGCAGGGGCAAAATGCCGCCAGTCTCTTTGATAAAACATAACAAGAGTTACCTTTGCTTCAGTTCCCAACAAGTTCCTCATCTCCATCTGAGACCACCTCAGCCTTGATTTCACTGTCCATATCATTATCAGTATTTTTGTCAAAGCCATTCAAGTGTCTAGGAAGTTCCAAACTTTCCCACATTTTCCTATGTTCTTCTGAGCCCTCCAAAGTTGCTTCCACATTTGGGTATCTTTTCAGCAGCACCCTACTCTACTGGTACCAATTTACTGTATTAGTCCATTTTCACACTATTAATAAAAACATACCTGATACTGGGAAGAAAAAGAGGTTTAATTGGACTTACACTTCCACATGGCTGGGGAGGCTTCACAATCATAATGGGAGGTGAAAGCCCATTACATGGTGGTGACAATAGAAAATGAGGAAGATGCAGAAGTGGAAACCCCTGATAAACCCATCAGATCTCGTGAGACTTATTCACTACCATGAGAACAGTATGGGGGAAACCGCCCCATGATTCAAATTATCTCCCACTGGGTCCTTTCCACAACATGTGGGAATTATGGGAGTACAATTCAAGATGAGATTTGGGTGGGGACACAGAGCCAAACCATATCAGCTTCTAATCCTTTTCTGTCCATCTTTCTCATCTGTAAAATGGACAAATAGGATATGCCACATATGTTATATTAGCAAGAAATAAAGTATTTAGCATAGTGCTGGCAATATAGTGGGTTTTAAGCATATGTGAGTTTCTTTTCTCAAATTCAGATTCATAGCTCATATACCCAGGAAACCCCGACAGCATTTCACATGTCCTACCTCTACAACTACCCTAAATGAAGACCTGGAGTAGTGAGGGATGACCAAGAAGAAACTTACAGGCTTTGACAAAGAACCTGAGTTTTATCCTGAGGCCAATATAAAGTTGAAAGAGTTTAAACTTTAAATGCTGAGGGATTTTAACACATTCCTCTAACCAATAGGCAGTATGACACAATTAATACAATGGTACCTGGTTTTAATTTCCTATCAATTGTCTGCACTTTAAATCTTTCTTACAGAGTCAATTGAGAGTTAGTTAAATATAAATATACTATACATCAGAAAGGTAAACCAATAGAGATATTTATGTAGTAATATTTAAATGTGCCAAAGGCAGTGATATCCTTAAAACAAGATCACTTTTAGCTGCCCTGCTTTGCACAGATATTGCAGAATCTTCAAAATAGAAAAAGGTATTATGTATGAATAGGAGTCATTTGAATTGGAAAATAGAAACTTAAATCATCTTGTCCATCACACTGTCAAGGTAGATTTCCTTTAACATGCTCTATGACTTAAGATATAAAAGTGTAAAAGAAAAAGAAAAGCTTAAAATTTCTGAATATTATCACTTTACTTTTTTAGGGAATAAGCCTTAATATGTATCTAATTTGACATTGTTAATATTTTCATACTTATATAGGCTTGACTTTGATTAAATCAAGCAAACTATCAGTTTGTCTTTAGTGAATGAAGTCTTCTTTTATATATGTGTAGCATATACCTTTTGTTTAATTTTCTGTACTTTATTTAATAGTAATATATCTGGTACAATAATCTTAACAAAATTGAAGTTTTCAGTACCGAATCTAGAAATGTTGGATGCCTGGTGAGATGTGAATAATTTATATGTAAAAACAAAAACTCCAACCTTTATTTTCCTTTTAAGATAACTGAAATAACAGGTTAGTTCTAAAGCTCAATTGTTCATTAGAAGTTAAAACTATGTACATGAAAAGTAACCTTAAAAAGCCAGATGTTTTTCACTCTGGTTTGCCTTAATTAAGTCACTGCCTTTAGCTACTCTCCAATAACAGCCAAAAAAGACAGTATGTAATTGTTTTCCAGCATCAGTCACAAAATAATTCACATATGATTCAGAAAACAGCCATTATGTTTATGTTCTATGATTCTGTATTTTCACACATATAAAGTTTTTATAAAATATTAAAATGATGCTATTTTTAATGCTTGGGATTTTATCTACAATTTTATAAAAATTTAATATAAAAATGAGTACAAAATATACATATGGTATACTGAAAAGGATTGAATACCACATATTCTTGCTAACCAATGCAGTGAATGAAATCAATTCATATCTCAGTAGACTCATGATAATATCTAGCAAGTGGCTATCTAACACACAAATTGCCTTGAAAAGTTCTACCCTTTGCAAATGTCAACAATAGAGCAACATGGAAGAACGGGTTCTTCTCAGATGTAATGAGGCGGTATGGCCACCAGCAGTGAGTATAATTCTTCAAAATCCCACCCTCTGTTAGAGTTCATGTTGTGACACCATTTTATTTAAAAGAAGCAATATATCTTCACTGTCCTCCAGATCTTGACAAAATACATCTCATGGTTAACAATAGACCGGAAAGATTATCATATTATCACGGCTTTGCTCGTAGAGAACTTTTGGAGTCTCCATGGCTGATATGAAGTAACCCTATGGAGACAACAACAAAGCCTGAGAAGCTCAGCCTTGAGCCCCAAACACTTAGCAGGAATTCTGATACAAATTTTTGAGTGATTGTATGAATGAGTGAACTAATGTGTTCCTAAGTGAGAGAGATGAATTACAAAACACTACAAGTAAATGAAACCCCTGTGAAGAACATTACTGTCACTGATATATGAAACTCATTTGCAAAAGGGGTTTGGGAACACAGTAAATCACACTTCGAAAAGCCAGTTCTTTCATGCATTTCATGGATTGACAACTGTAAAAAGAAGTAGATGGTGTTGGGTCTTTGTATTTGACCACTGCTCTTTTCACTCTGCACAGTTTCCTTGGGTGTCTTTTTACTCATTTTAATGTTTTTTTCCTGCTACCTTTATATTTAATATTCTCAAACTTCTATTTTTAATGCATATCATATACTGGGTGACAGACTCTTTAATATAAATCAGCCTGCTGGACATATATACCTGGATGCTTATTCCCACAAAAGTTCAAATTCTGCATTTCCAAAGTGGAATGTACCACTCATATATATGAATCAAGTTCCTCTTTGCCTCACCGTTTTCTAGAGACTCAGACCACTCCTTCCAGTCTTCGCTGCTGCTGAGCAAATTCTTTTTCTTTCTTTGCTTTGAGCAACTGTTACAAGAGGAAGTCATTTATACGGCCTTCAACAAGAGAGTTCAGTGAGACTGAATCATTGGTCCAACTTATTACCAGACAGCATCTGGCCTGATAACACATCCTCATATAGCTCTCTGTCCTCTCTACTTTATTTTCCTTTTCTCTCTTGTGCTCCACATGATTGCATTTTTAAATAAAGTAAGTAGTAGCACAGGAAGAATCCAGGCTGAAACATCATAAAAATTTGCTCCTCTTTTGGTGGTATCTGCTGATGTTATCCACTTTTACCCTGAAACTGAAGTAAAAATTCTAGGAGTCATTCATGCCTCCTTTTCTTCCTCAATCTGCTAGAAACATAGTCGCTAAATCTAGCCATATTTCCTTCTAAAGAGCAGATGCATCATTCCTCTCTATTTTTGCCAACACTGACTTGCTTCAGGCACTCATTTTTTTCTTATTCAAAAAACCTCCTATCTGGTTTTCCTAATTCCAGTCTCATTTCTTCATTTTTGGCTCCACATCTACAATAAAGTGATTCGGGTGCTTCATCTAAAATGCATATCTTAACCCTGATTCTCAGCAGCTCCAAGCTCTTTAACCCATCACGCCTTCATTATCTGTTCTGAGCTTATGTTTTCAGGCTTATCAATCATGACTTCCCACCTTAATTTGTGTGTTTCCACAACACCAAACATGGCAATATTAAAAAATCTCTGGCTCCTTATCTAGAGTGCTTTCCTCTTTCCTCTTCTGGTAAACTCCCACTTTAGAACAAAGTTCAGGCATTCCTTCTTTTATAAAGCATGCCCACACATTACCAGGCTGAGAAAGGTGACTGTCTTTTGGGCAACATAAAATCTCTTATATATCCACTAGAAGAGTGACCCTTGCTTTTGCTTCGTTTTGTTGTATCCCATATCCCAGCATACTCAATGGATACGATATTCATTCACCAATTTCCCTCTATGGCAGGAGTTCTCATCCTATGAGAAGGCTCTACCTCTCCCAAATACTTGAACGGTATTTCAGATTCTAACGGAGGAAGACCAGGTATAGTGGTACAGTTTCTGATTCTGTTATGCCTGCTTTGTGCTGGGTTTGGGTATTTTTCCTCTCGTAAACCCACTCCCTGAAAATAACTACACAAATATATGCTTTACGAGGAGCAGAGTGGAACTGTTTTGTCTTTATATCTCAGTACCTAGACGATAATCTGACCATCAGTAGTAGTAAAAGGTCAATATATATTTACTGTGAATAAATGAATGAATGAATGAATGAATACTCCAGGAATAAACCTCAGGCAAACTGAGGTCATTTCTTGCTGGGGCTGAATAGTATGGTACTCTTAGAAATTTGAATTTTGATTTATATAGTGCCTTAGCGCACAGAATTCTTTGAGGTGTAACAAGTACATATACCTGGTAAGTAGGCAGTCAAATTGGCAATGTCTGTAGAAAAGGTGAGAAGGCTGGATAATAATAATCAACAATTATCTGATAGACTTAAAGGCACTATCTACTGTACCAAGCAGTGTCTGTTGTATAGCTGAATGCCTTTGGGAATTAAAGGCCAAGGAGGTTTTCTCTCTGACAGGATGAGCTCAGCATAGATGACTTTGCACTACGCAGCCATATAGCACTAAATGACTTCTGCTCTGTTTATTGGTATCTATCCATCAATCACAGGCATTGTTATGGCAACCAAGGAAGTATTTTTATCATTTGTAACTCCCTCTTTTATTATAATTATCTGTGTATGTGTTCTCCCCCCAATATACTGTGAGTTCCTTAATGACAGGGACTTTATTTATCTTCACAGCATAGCAGGAGTTAAAATATTATAAAGTAGAAGAAAAAACAGGTCAGAATGGAACAGTAGTGAGATGGAAGCTGGAGGAATATGATGGAACCAGATCAGTAAGTGTGTTCAAGGCTAAACAGAAATATCCTGACACCTTAGGTAGGTTAAAATTTTAGCAGCCTACATTAGTTTGTATAATCTTCACTGATGTAACAAATATATCACCAAATTTTAGTAGCCTAACTTAATTATTCATTTTAGCTCGCTTAGCAGTCTAATGCTGGTGGTTATATTCAATGGGACTGAGAGAATAGAGGATCTTAGGAAACCTCCATCCTTTGATGCCATTCTTGGTGGGGGGCTTAGAGTCCTCTTCTTCCAGAACGAAGGTGAGGGGAGAAAGAATAGATGACAAAGTCCAAAGAATCATGTATCATATGTTCGAGTCGTAAGTGGCAATAATTTATTTCTCTTCATACTTCATTGGTGAGAACTAGGTCTATGTTCTACGTTCTTACACAAGATATTGACAAACTTTTTCCATAAAGAGCCAAATGGTAAATATTTTAGGCTTTGTGGGTCATGCATTTCTGTTACAACTACTCAACTGTGGTTGTAACCTGAAAGCAACCACAGATAATATGTAAATGACTCGATATGGCTATGTTCCAGTAGATGCAAGAGGGATAGAGGAGACTGAGCAAAGTATCAATGGCTGGCAACTACTTCTAGGGGAAGTAGTTTATATTACGGAGCGGGTATATAAGCTCTTCTGTTGCAAAGCTAGTAGAAAACTTAACTTTTATTCTGAAGGCCATAATAAGCATTTGAAAGACTGCCATCTGTAAATACCAAAAGCAGATATTGAAAATATAGATGCCTGAGGGGACTAGAGGATATGACTCTTATCAGTGTCACCACAGTTTTAAATATATGCAATAGTTTTAACAGAGCTGTCATTAATCATGAACATTATCATGAATGCTATTATTCCAAAATGAACAATCTTTTTATTGTTTATAGTAATAAAATATGTAACCTCAAATAGTAACATCTGAAAATGATTCATTTCAAATTATATCATATAGGATTATATTTGTATAAGTAAAACAACTATATTCATTTTATTGCAAAACTGAAAATAGTTTCATTTTCCTGAATGTTTCATTTCCCAAGTATTAAAATAGATTTTAAAACATAAATATTGATAGCTTTCAATTGTCAAGTAAAGCAGACAATGCACAAAAATTTGAAAAAGACAGGAATAGAACATTGGAAACTTTTACAGTGCAGGGAAGTGAAACTATATTTCAGTTAAAAACTTATGCAAAATTAAAAAGTCAAATTGGAATAGAAATAAATCCAACATATAACAAAAGTCTATGAATTTTGTATTTGTACTCTGCTCTTAAGTGTCTTTGTCTCTATTTTCTTTTATTTTAGTGTATTATTCTCATTTATTTTTTACTGGAATAAAAATAAAGTAGATACTTTAAAAAATGAAGGTAGGACATTTGGATTTCTTACGAAAAGTGTTATTCTTCTTAGAAGATTATTCTTGTAAATTTATTGGGAATATTGTCAAATATATATGAAGATGGCTGATTATAACAGTTAACAAAATTGAAATAATTCTTGTGTCCAGACATTGTGCTAAGTGCATGGCTTATACACAATATCATTTATTCCTTATATCAGTCGTATTATTACCAATATTATTGTCTCCACTTTATTGGTAAGGAAACTGAAGTACAGAGAGGTTAAGTAATTTTCCTAAGATTATGTCAGTAGTAAGCAACACAGCTGAACTTTGAAACTTGGTGTGTCTGACTTTTAAATCCTCTCCACAGAAATACAACAGCTTAACTCAAACCCACTTCCACAAAACCAGCAGTTAAGCTCTCTAGTTCCCATCTGTGTAACACGGCAGAGGCACTCTTTCTGGAGTTGCAGCATATTAACCATGTGTTGTAATTAAATCTCTGTAACAAGGAGAAACACCTTAAATTACTTTTGGGAATAGCCTTTAGATTGTGAAATACATTTGATAGCAAAAATATTAGTCCTGGGGCATGGTCCAAAAGTTTAAAAAATAATATTATGAAAGTTAATTGTTCTTCATATGATAAAAGAAAATAAATTGAGTTGCTAGAGAGCTAGGGGTTAAGGGTTTCCGGAATAATGAGTTGAGAACAGATTATAGGGAGGGCACAGAAGTTAGAATAAGGTTGGGACTGAATCCAAGAGCAGATCTTTAAGATTTGAGGTAAGAGTAGTCAAGGTATTTCTAAGATCGAGGATAGCTAATATATATTTATATTTACATCTTTGTTTTTTTGTGCTGTTTTCTGAAATATCTGACCTCTTCTTTGTGACCCCTCCCCAACCAAATTTTGTGTTAGTTGCTTTTTGGAAAAATTCAGGAAAAGGGACTACGTTGACTTTTAGGTTGAGGAGAAACAAATGACAAACAACAAGTACAATAACAATAACTAGAAATGATAACATATATGCTATGTATTTGGCCCCATTCTGAGGATTTAAAAAATATACATCAAATCATGCAATACTCTGTGGTCAGTATTATTGTTATCATCACCATTTATAGATGAGGAAACTATGAAGTCACATAGGAAATAAGTAATACAACCACTATTCAATGTATGGTTCCAGTGTCGTTGTTCTTCTTTACAGTTCTATATGATCGTTTCTAAGCTTTAGAATCAGACTGTTAATGATATCAATATGTCACTTTACTTTAAAAATGTAAGCAGAGACTATAACAAAAACTATGCATTTAATCTTAAATTCCCTTGTGAAATGGGAAGGACAGAATTTGCACATGGAATAAAGGCTCGATTCATTTTGGGAAATTATGATTTCACAAAACTGGTCACTTTATTGCTATTATTTAAAGAGTAGCCAAATACATGTATGTGTACAAACATTTAAAATGAATGTTTGCTTAAAAGTAGGGTTTCTAGATAGTTACCACAAATGTATAAAAACATGTTATATGCTTTATAACTTACTCCCTTTTGAAAAGCAAATCATGTCCAATTTAGTGACATTAATGATATTTTGAGATGATATGTGGGGGTGGATAAAAGTGGAAAATGATCTCTGGTGCTTTCTATCTTTGGTTTCTGTATCATTTCCTTCTATTAAAATACTTCTGCCTATTATCACAACACATTCCTTCAGGAATAGTAATTATTTAAAAGAGGATGGCAGGGTAACATAACATTTAGTCCTGAGTCATTATCCTTATATGGAAAAATTTGAGAATGTGTAATAAAGGGTAAGATGGTGTTTGGATATAAGGTAGCTTTAAAGGTGTATGTAAATGCTATGTTTCTTGTAGTTAATTTTTTTTAACAAAGTATTTTTTAAAATTATCCATATTGATGCATAGAGATGTATTTTATTCTTTTCTCTGACTTATAAGTATTACTATTCCATTTTATTTATTACATTTTTAAACGTCCATTTCTCTGCTTTGCAATGTTCCTACTATTTCTAATAAGGCTATTCAGAGAGTCATTAGATTACATGTGAGTGCTTCTGTAGGGAAGAAACTAGAGGTAGAATAACTGATTTAGCTGTTCTTAATATCGTACCTGTCTACTCTGCCTGAATGAGAAATCAATCTTTCATATTTTAGGCATAAGACATAAGCAAATATGTGATAATAAAATTTTTGTGCCTGAGGTATACGCTACCTAATTATTAAGAACACAGGTGAAACAAATGTAGGTGACTATAAAATAGAGATAGAAAATGCTATAAGAGTTAATCCAAAGTTTGTCATATACACAGATATAATTAGTATCAACTTTACTGTTGGAAAAAACCTTGGTAAAATGATTCAAGCAAACATAAAACCAAATAACAATCCCCATCACCAAATAAAAACCAAAATACCAAACTGGTGAATCAGTTTCTCTGTCAATGCTATGTTAAGAACTATTGCTAGATTTTCTTATATCAGCATAAAGCTGACTGCAAAGAAGAGGTGAGGAAATAGATCATGCTATTCTAAAAATTTAAATATTTTGATAAATTTAAAAAATGTGTCACTGAGCATCAGGCAAGAGATTTATAATTTGTGGTGATAGTCACCTTACTTCCTTCATGTGAGTAGGACTTTTAGCTTCTCAATAACAGAACCTCAGTGATATAATTAATATAAAATAGTAAGGTAAGACTACATTCCCTGTAATAAAATCCTGCATCACATGTCGTCTTCCAAGGACCATCTGTCCAGATGAGCCTTGCTGTAATAATCAAGTAAACGGAGCCACCAGACAAATTAGTGGAGAGCTTCAATTCTCATAGTGTCATCTGGGGGTTATTTAAATGTTATTTGACTTTTTCACTGTGGTTATACTTGCACTGATAGTCAAAGATAATAGTGGATAAAACTACTGATGGCTTAGTATGATACAAATAGTGGCACCACCTGTACTAGATAAGAGTATTATCACTTTAATTTAAAAAATTAAGATTATACTTGAAACAGTGGTAACACTAACTTTATTCAAATATAAGTTATGAATTACATGCCTTTTTAATAAAGTGTATGATGAAAAGGGGGGTATGCATAATGTATTTCTGCTGTATGCTGGAGTAAGATGATTGCCTCAAGGAGAAGCATGAGTCATTTTTGATGTGTAAGACCAACTAGCTGCTAATTTTTGTGGAACACAGTTTTACATGAAAGAATAACTAATATTCAGCTATGGTTATGCATTCTTGGGTTATTGGGTAGACATTTTCTCAAAAAGAAAATGGGTCTGGCCGGGCACGGTGGCTCACGCCTGTAACCCCAGCACTTTAGGAGGCCGAAGCGGGGGGATCACGAGGTCAGGAGATCAAGACCATCCTGGCTAACATGGTGAAACCCCGTCTCTACTAAAAATATTTAAAAAATTAGCCGTTTTTTTAGTTAATGGGTGCAGCACACCAACATGCACATGTATACATATGTAACAAACCTGCACATTGTGCACATGTACCCTAAAACGAAGAAGAAGGAAGAAAGGAAGAAAGGAAGAAAGGAAGAAGAAGAAGAAGGAAGAAGAAGAAGAAGAAGGAAGAAGAAGAGGAAGGAGAGGAAAGAAGAAGAAGAAGAAGAAGAGGAAGAAGAGGAAGAAGAAGAAGAAGAAGAAGAAGAAGAAGAAGAAGAAGAAGAAGAAGAAGAAAGAAGAAAGAAGAAAGAAGAAAGAAGAAAGAAGAAGAAAGAAGAAGAAAGAAGAAGAAAGAAGAAGAAAAGAAGAAGAAAATTAGCCGGGTGCAGTGGCGGGCGTCTGTAGTCCCAGCTACTCAGGAGGCTGAGGCAGGAGAATGGCGTGAACCGAGAAGGCGGAGCTTGCAGTGAGCTGAGATCGCGCCGCTGCACTCCAGCCTGGCTGACTGAGCCAGACTCCGTCTCCAAAAAAAAAAAAAGAAAATGGGTCTGCCACTCCAAAGAAAACAGCTAACAGCATTTGTTGCCAATGTTACAATTCGAACTTTCAAGCATATTTCAGAATTTTGGGTAAGTCATCCACCATGGTCAGAATGACAGCTATACAATACTTAAAAACTTTTCTGATGAGACTGGAGGGGATATTAACAAATATTATTTTTAAATATTTTATAAAGATATATGTTGACATTTGGTAGAGCTGAATAACTCAAGAGACCAATATTTTGGCAGCAAAAAATTGTGCATGAGTAAAAGATCCATTCAAAATGCAGATAGAGCAATGAATGTTAATTTAATTGAGTATAAAATGCCCATTGATTGGGTTTTACATTCCACTTTTTAACTCACCTTTAACAATTTATTAGTTATCAAGTTTTGGCATAATATCAAAGAGGGGTACTCTAAATTATTTGAAAAGTCTATTAAAACTCTTCTATCTTTTCAAAATATGTATGTGTTGGGAGGCCAGAATTTCTCCAACTACTTCAGCAAAATAATTACAGGACAGATTGAATGCAGAAGCACATATGAGAATCCAGCTGTATTTATTAAAGCAGGTATTAAATATGTTTGCTGATACATATAACAGCGCCATTCTTATCATTACTTTTATTTGTTTTGGAAAAGTAAAACTGTTTTTCATAAAACATGCTATGCTATATTATTCATGTTAACTTATGAGTTTATCATTTTATAAGAATTAATAAAGGAAATAAGGCAGAGTAGAGAGCACTAGTAAACCTATCTCCCCACCTAGACAACAATTGTACTGGCAGAATATATATATATATATATATATATATATATATATATATATATACATATATATATATATTTTTTTTTTTTTTTTTTTTTTTTTTGAGACGGAATCTCACTCTGTTGTCCAGGCTGGAGTGCAATGGTGTGATCTTGGCTCACTGCACCCTCTGCCTCTTGGGTTCAAGCAATTCTCCTGCCTCAGCCTCCCGAGTAGCTGGGACTACAGGTGTGTGCAACCAAGCCAGGCTAACTTTTGTATTTTTAGTAGAGACGGGGTTTCACCACATTGGCCAGACTGGTATTGAACTCCTGACCTCGTGATCCAACTGCCTGGGCCTCCCAAAGTGCTGGGATTACAGGCATGAGCCACCACGTCTGGCCTAGAATATTTTTGATGTAACTATTTTGAAATAGTGAAGTCTATTGAAGGTTTACAACCTTCCAGGTGAAGGCTTCTAAATTAAATTGTGATTAATTTTGGTCAGTTTCAGCTCTTAAAACAGTAGCATGCACACACGTCCCACTTCTTAGTCATGTGGCAGGCAGTTGTGTGCATGTTTCTGGTGTAGTCTGCACACAGCTTGTGACGGCCATGGTGGACAGAAAGGATCCTCTTCTTCACATATTAGACATCTGTGCTTTGATCACTGATTACTGCTTCTGATAATAGAGCTGATGATCAGTGAACTAGATGGTGGTCATTGTCACACTTCCCCCCCATTGTTGTTACTCCCCACCACCTTGAACTATTTTTCTCCTCATTGTTTGTCTCTTTTCACACTTTTGGAAGCTAGCCATTAAAGATTGGAACATTCAAAAATAACTGCATATATGAGGAAAATTTAAAAATGGCCATCCATGCCCAGGAAAGGGTTTATAAAAGAAGACTTGAGAAGTCTTTAAGAAACTCCATGTAAAACAACAACCTCAGAGCTACATGGATACATATTAAAACCAGACTTTTGAAAACTAAAGACGAAGTGAAAATCTTAAAAGCAGCAAAAGAAAATGACTTTTCACATACAAGGATCCCAATAAAATTATAGATTTCTCATCAGTAATTTTACAGGCTAGAAGACAAAAGTTTAAAATATTCAAAACACTGAAAGAAAACAACTCTGTAAACCAATAATTCTATATTTGACAAAACAGTCCTTTCAGAAGTTAGATAGAGCTGGGTGTGATGGCTCACACCTGTAATTCCAGCACTCTGAGAGGCCGAGGCAGGTGTATCACCTGAGGTCAGGTGCTTGAGACTAGCCTGGCCAACATTGTGAAACACCATCTCTACTAAAAATACAAAAATTAGCCAAGTGTGGTTGTGTGTGCCTGTAATCCCAGCTACTCAGGAGGCTGAGGCAGTGGAATCACTTGAACCCAGGAGGCAGAGGTTGCAGTGAGCCAAGATAGTGCCACTGCACTCCAGCCTTGGCAACAGAGCAAGATTCTGTCTCAAAAAAAAAAAAAAAAAAAAAATTAGGTAGAAATTAAGACATTCCCAGATAAACAAAAGCTAAGAAAGATTGTTAACACTGGACCTTCCTTGCTAGAAATGCTCAAGGGGAATCCTGCAGTGTGAAATGAAAGACCATAGACAGTAACTGTATGTTGAATGAAGAAATAAGAGTAAATTAATAGGCAATTATTAAAGTTAAATGGCTTATAATGCACTTTTTGTTTTATAATAATTTCTAATAATTGTTTTCTAAATAATTAAACAGATTAATACATTAAAATTGTTCTAATAGTGTTATAACTTTGGTTTATAACTTTATATTTTGTTTTCTAAATAATTTAAAAGACTAATGCATTTCAAAAATTACTAGTTGGGGGGGGCACACAATGTATAAAGATGTTATGTATAAAGATGTAATTTTGTGCCATCAACAATCAAAAGGAGTGGGAACAGAGCTGTTAAAGGAGTAGAGTTTTTCTTGTTATAAACTCAACTTAGAGTGTTAATGACTTTAGGCTGTTAATCGCATGGTAACTACAAAGAAAATAGCTATATACAAAATAAAATTAGAAAAAATTTTAAATACTTCACTATAAAAGATAAACTAAACACAAAAAGATGGTAATGTAAAAAATGAGAGACAAAAACTATCAAGAATAAGGAACACATCACAAAATAGCAGAAGTAAATAGCTTCTTAGCAATTATTTTAATTATAAATGATTGTACTCTTGAATCAAAAAACAGAAACCTGCAGAATGGATAAAAACACTTTTTTCAACTATATCCTCTCTAACAAAGATTTACTTTAGATCTAAAACCACAAATATTAAATAGATTAAAACTGAAAGGATGGAAAAAAATAAATATTATATGCAAATAGTAACCAAAAGAGATTAGGGGTTGCTAGCTTAATATCAGACAAAATAGACTTTAAATTAAAAAATGTTAAAACCAAAGAAGGACATTATATGTTAATAAAAGACTCAATACAGCAAGAAGATATAACAACATATATAAATGTAGGAGTTCAGTCAGGGTGGTGGGAAAAATTGTAAAATAGACACAAACCTTCTTGGAAGGCCGGAAGGTTTTGCAAAAGCCTAAGGATAGGGTTATGGGTGAAGGCAGCCTAATCCTCTTACCCTGAGTTAATAGCTTAAAGTAGGTACAAAGGAATGTAAGGGAGTTTATCTACATAGCTTGTTTACTCATGTGGTCCTAAGACCAACCTTTGATCATTCACAGAACTGATCTCTCTGGGAGAGGGTGACCAGATTAATTACCCAAAGGCGTGTTAACTCAAAGCCTTTGTCATTAAATCTGTACTGAATAAATGCCTGCAGAGCCAGCTAGTCAGAGTGTGCATGCGGCTGCTACAACTCTGTGATTGGCACAGCCCCCTGGCCTACTCTTTCACTGAATATCAGTGTCTGAGTACATTATTCATCCATTGTGCAGCCTAGGTCTGTGGGTCAGACCCCAGCAGGTGGTGCCTCGTGTGAGGAACGCTGCAACGGACTGGTGATTGTGACGGAACCCTTGAAAACGAAGGTGAAAAGGACTGTGCAGTCAGTAAGTCATTGGTGCCTGCTTGGGATTTCCAAGTTCACAGGGATTGTTCAGGCTAGGATTTCATCATGGGACAACAGTTATCAGCTCAACAGAAACAGTACATAAAATTATTGAAACAGCTGCTTAAAGCTGGTGAAGCCTCAGTTTTGCAGGCTCAATTAAGGGACTTAATGCAAACTGTTGTATTCCATAACCAATGGTTTTCAGAAGAAGGTATGCTAAACATAGAGCTCTGGGAACAAGTGTGGAGAAATCTTAACATCATCAGCAGTGGGTCCCAGTATCATCTCTAACACTATGGGCTTTGGTGAGGTTGGCTCTGGTCCCATTATACACAGAAGAGCCTAAAAAGGAGAAGGAGGAAGAACTGTTACCTACCTTACCACCTCCTTGTCCCTCAGACACGCTATCACCAGGCCAAAATAACAAAGAGGAAATGGAGGTTTGCCTGAGTCCCCTCCTCTAATAAATTGGGAAAAAGACAAGGGATACCCTAGTTATGGGACCCTATCTTAGGCAAGTGGCATTAGAAGGGGAGTTCTTAGCCTACCTGGTAATGCAAGATCAACAAGGCAATCAGGTATATAAACCCATTTATTTTAATGCTTATAAAAAAATAAGAAAAGGCATTAGAGGCTGGAGCCACGTGGCCAAGTTTGTGATGGGTGGAAGAAAAAGCTTGGTAGTGGGGAAGCTCATGACACCCCAGGCCGACAGGGGCCGCGGCAGGGGGCAGAAGCAACACAGACAAAAAGCAGCACCTAGGCAAGTGCAACACTGCTGCCGTCTAGCTCCGTGGGCAGCCCATGGCAAAATTTCTTGTGTTTCTTGTATACAAGCGACATCCCAGAGTATAATTCTCTGCTAAGATATAAGTAAAATTGAAGAATTTAAAAGACCTCTTTCTGATAATGGCCACTGTTGTTATTTCTCCCTTACTCCTAAAACGACTCCAAATCCCATTTAAGTAAAACAGTAACTGCTGGAGGGAGAGAAATTAAAAAGAGCCCATGAATTAGTTGAGGAGCAATTAAAAGCCAGCCATATGGAACAATCAAACAGCCCCTGGAATTCGCCCATTTTTGTCATTCCCAAAAAGTCTGGTAAATGAAGGTTTTGCATGACCTACGTGCTATTAATGCTAATTTGCAACCTATAGGGCCCCTTCAACAGGGCCTTCCCTCCACCGCAGTGATTCCTCAAGATTGGCCTACAATCTTTATTGACTGCTTCTATACCATTCCATTAGCAGAACAGGACAGAGAAAGATTTGCATTTACAATACTGGCTATCAATAATGAAAAGCCAGGTTGCTGATTTCATTAAAAAGGGTGTCCTCAAGGGATGCTAAACAGTCCTACCATGTGTCAGTATCATGTAAATCAAGCTTTGCTCTCTAGTAGAAAAGAATTTTCTGATTGCAAGGTTATTCATTTTATGGATGATGTTTTACTAGCAGCCCCAACAGAGCCAGTACTTTCAAAGTTAGATACCTCTGTCATAAAGAATACACAGTTAAGAGATTTAATGATTGCGCCTGAAAAATTACAGATGTCTCCTCCTTGGAAATATCTTGGGTACATACTAACTTCCTGGTCAGTAAGACCTCAAAAGCTTAAATTAAATACTAAAAACTTACGTACCTTAAATGATTATCAGAATTTACTAGGCGATATTAACTGGCTTTGGCCCACCTTGGGCCTACCTACTGATAGGTTGCAAAATCTCTTTTCTATCTTAAAGGGCAATTGAGCCCTGGATTCTCCCAGGTATTTAACTCCTGTGGCAAAAAGGAAAATCAAGGAAACAGAACAGACCATTTCTCACAGGCAACAAGATTGCATAGACCCAGTCTATTCAATTCAATTGTTTATTTTTCCCACTAAACACTACCCTACAGGGTTAATAGGACAGATGGCCCCAGTACTATGCTTTCTAGAATGGGTTTTTTGCTCACATACCGGAACTAAAACACTTTCCCTATAATCAGTAAAGTCATATATTCAGGCTTCAGACAATGCAATCAGTTGCTAGGTTATGATCCTGATATCATCAGGATTCCTTTAAGTAAAAAGCAATTTGAAGCAGTATTGCCATTATCTATAGATCTGCAAATAGCCATCTCTGATTACGCAGGCCATGTAGACCTTGCCCTTCCTGCTGATAAACCCCTTCAGTTCTTATCTGGTACTTCTGTGATGTTACCTACAAAAATAGTTCACTCCCCCATACCTAACGCTTTAACACTGTTTACTGACGGTTCTGGTAAACATGGGAAAGTGGCCATTTGGTGGAGACCACATAATTTCCTCCATTGTTCTGGGTTTACTAGCACTCAAAAAGCTGAGGTTGGGGCCTTAATATTGGCTTTGGAGACTTTTTCCGCTCAGCCCATCAATATTGTTAGCGACTCTGCTTACTCTGTTTATTTACTGCAGAACCTTGAGACAGCGCTAATTAAGTCCACTCTAAAGCACACCCTGTGTGCACTTTTCCTCTGACTTCACCAATTGCTAAATCAACGTACACATCCTATTTTTATTACACACATTCGAGCCCACAGCTCACTGCCCGGTTTATTGGCTTATGGCAATGATCAACCAGACCTTCAGGTTGTGACGTCACTGCTTGACCAAGCCACCCAATCACATCAATTCTTCCACCAAAACTGGAGAAACTTACCTAAACAATTTCAACTTACCCAGAGACTAGCTAAACAAAGTATCCTGCAATGCCCAGATTGCCAGCTCACAGGCACATCCCCTCTTTCAACAGGTGTTAACCCTAGAGGGTTCTAGTCCTCTAATCAGTTATGGCAAACAGATGTTACACACATCCCTAAATTTGGAAACTTAGATATGTACATGGATCAATTGATACCAACACTTATCTAATTAGTGCACATGCTCTTCCTGGAGAGTCCACCTGATATGTCATTAAACATCTCCTTTCAACTTTTGCATTTATGGGGCAGCCCACAAAAATTGAAACTGATAATGGTCCAGCTTATGCCAGCTCACAATTTCAACAATTTTGTCACACGTGGAATATCCAACATTCCATAAGCATCTCAAATAACCCCCAAGGACAGGCCATAGAACGTGCCCACTCCATCCTTAAAAATATGCTCAAAAAAGGGGGAGTATGAGTAAGGACCCTGCAACACTAGTAGCACAAGCCTTATTTACCCTTAATTTTTAAAATTTAGATAAATTTCAATCAGCAATGGAAAAGCACTTTGCTAAAACCTCTCAAGACATAAAACCTGCACTTTTATGGAAAGATGTAAACAATAATGAATGGTGTGGTACAAATGAATTGCTAACATGAAAAAGAGGATATGCTTGTTTTCACACCCCCTCAGGTCCTCTTTGAATTCCAGCACGATGCATCAAACCATACCATGGCATGGCTAGGACCCAACCCAGTACCAGAAATGAAGAAAAGGACCCTACAGGACCCGCATCCCCATGCTGAAAAAGACAACTCAAGAGGCTGAACAAATCCTGCTCCAGACACACACATCATTCACTCCAGGTAATGTGTTACTTGCTATGCTTTATTAACCTTTTTAAAATTCTCTCACTCTGCCTGCATGTGGTACCTGCTACACTTAAGCACCGACTTCCGGCTTCTAACATTGCAACTGCTTGGCCAAGAGAGATTATCATACCCCCAGTGGGGTTCCTTAGTAACAGCACACATGGAACTAAAGTGCCAAGTAACACTACAGGTCACTCCTTGATTGGAAAAGAATGTTGCTAATAATACTCATGTTTGTCTTATGTTATTTACTAATTCTAGGATTCAAAGCTGGAATACGAGCAGTGACCAGCATGCCTGACAGGCCTGTTGCTACACACATCTGTACTCTTCAATCAACAAAGCCTGATGCAAAATAACAGAAAAGGGGGAGATACAAGAGTTCAGTCAGGGTGGTGGGAAAAATTGTAAAATAAACACAAACCTTATTAGAAGGTCAGTAGGTTTTGTAAAAGCCTTAGGATAGCCGGGCGCGGTGGCTCACGCCTGTAATCCCAGCACTTTGGGAGGCCGAGACGGGCGGATCACGAGGTCAGGAGATCGAGACCATCCTGGCTAACACGGTGAAACCCCGTCTCTACTAAAAATACAAAAATTAGCCGGGCATGGTGGCGCGCGCCTGTAGTCCCAGCTACACGGGAGGCTGAGGCAGGAGAATGGCGTGAACCCGGGAGGCGGAGCTTGCAGTGAGTCGAGATCGCGCCACTGCACTCCAGCCTGGGCGACAGAGCGAAACTCCGTCTCAAAAAAAAAAAAAAAAAAAAAGCCTCAGGGTAGGGTTACGGCTGAAGTCAGCCTAATCCTCTTACCTTGAGTTAATAGCTTAAAGTACATACAAAGGAATGTAAGGGAGTTTATCTAAATAGCTTGTTTACCCATGTGGTCCTAAGACCAACTTTTGATCATCGTGGGTGAATGATTGCTCTCTACTCAGGGGTTTGGCAATGTGGCAATGTTAATTACCCTCTAGTGGTGTTTACTGGAGACTTTTGTCATTTAATCTGCACTAAATAAACGTGAACTTCACCAGCTTTTGAGGCCGATGCTGCAGACTCTGACAGCAGAGCCCCTTAGCCACACTGACAGGCAAAATATCTGTGTCCCTGTACATCTTTCATCTGTCACTGGGTCAGCTTCTGTGGGACAGACCTGGCATATAAACACTTAGCTGATTACAGATTATCAAAATATATGAAGCAAAAAAGACAGAATTTAAGGGAGAAATAGACAATTGTACAATAATAGTGGAGAATTAAATAGCCACTCTCAATAATTAATAGAGCAACGATGTAAAAGATAAGTAAGGAAATAGAGGACTTAACACAACAAACCAACTAGATCTAACAGACATACACAGAACATACTACACAACAACAACAGCATACACATTCTTAAAAGCATGTGGAACATTTTCCAGGATAGACTATATGTTAGGCCACAAATTAAATCTCAATAGATGGAAGGACATATGTCATATAAATTATCTTTTCTGATCACAATGGTTTCCAGGATAGACTATATGTTAGGCCACAAATTAAATCTCAATAGATGGAAGGACATATGTCATATAAATTATCTTTTCTGATCACAATGGTTAAAGTTGAAAATCAAAAACAGAAGTAAAACCAGAAAATTTATAAATTTGTGGAAACTGAACAACATTCTGTTTAACAACCAAAGGATCAAGAAATAAATTATAATGGAAAGTAGAAAATAGAGACAAATAAAAATGAAAATACAACACACACCAAAATGTACGAGATGCAGTGAAAGCAGTGGTAAGGGGGAAATTCATAGCCATTAATGCTTGTGTTAAAAAATAAGAAAGATCTCAAATTCAACAAGTTAACTAAAACTTAATAAGCTAAAAAAGAAGAAAGAACAATCTAAACCCAAAGTAGAGATGACATTGATGATAACAAAGTTGGTTGTTTGAAAAACTCAACAAAATTGACAAATCTTTAGTTAGATGGATTAAGGAAAATAAAAAGAAGACTCAATTAACTGAACTTAGTTGATGATATTGTAAATAAAATTGATTTTGTAATTACTTTTTCAGATTGCTCATGCTTAGTGGGTAGAAATGCAGTTTACTTTTGGTTGACTTAACCAAAGCAGTGAATGTCTTCTACAATAGAAACTACTAAACATTGCTGAAAGAAATAGAGACATAAATAAATGGAATCACATCTCATGTTTATGAATTGGAAAAAAGTGATATACAGATTTGGTGCAATCCCCAACAAAATCCCAGTGATTTTTTTTTTTCAGAAATAAAAAAATAATCCACTTAAAATTCCTGTAGAATCTCAATGTACTCTGAACATACAAAACAATCTTGAAAAATAACAAGACTGGTGGTCTCACACTTACTGTTTCAAAACTTAATTACAATGCTACCTTTGTAATTAAAACCTTTTTGTATTGGCATAAAGACCAACATATTGACTAATGGAGTAGAATGAGAAGCCCAGAAATAAACCCTTATGTATATGATTTTTGACAAGGGTGCCACATACATTCAATGGGGGAAGAATGGTCTGGTCTTGTGAACATATGGTGTTGGAGAAACTGGATATCCACATACAACAGAATGACCCAAATAGTTGGACCCTTACCTAACACCATATACAATAATTAACTAAAAATGGATTAAAAAGCTGAAACTTTAAAGCTTTTAGTAGAAAACATAGGGAAAAAGGCTCACAACATAGAATTTGGCAGTTATTTCTTGGATATGGATATGACACCAAATGCACAGGCAATGAAAGAAAAAACAGACATTAGACTTCATGAAAACTAAAAAGAAATTGTGCATCAAAATATATTAACAGAGTATAAAGACAACTCAGAATGGAAGAAAAGACTTGCAAATCATATATCTGATAAGGGATTAATATTCAGAATATATAGAGAACTCCTAAGACTAAACAACAAAGAAACAATCCAATTCGAAAATGGACAAAAAATCAAATAGAAATGTCTCAAGAGAAGATATACAAACATCCAATATATACATGAAAAGATGCTCAATAACAATAATTAGGGAAATGCAAATCAAAACTGTGAGGCTCAAGTCATCCCACAGGGCTTCTAAAGGAAAAGAGGGTCCAAAAATCCAGATGGCTAGAGCTTCTCTGGGCTTGCATGAGGAGCAACCTCACATTGATTAAGATGTGAGCTTTTATGCTGTCCTGTGATCAAATAACCCACCTCACCATGCTATCTTACTTCTGCGTTTCCAATTTACCATAATACTCCCAAAATAACCCCTTTTATAAGGGGTCATTTTAATTGTCTGAGTTCCCTCTTAATAACAGGGAAGAAACAAAATTTTAACCACTTCTTACCAATGCATGAATGACTAATATTGTCTCAAATGTGTTATCTCTTTAGTTCACCCAATTCAAAGCCATGTTTGGAGATTTCTGTATCCAGAAGCAGAGTCTGAAAGAAATACGTCTCCCATAATGGAAACTGAAGAACAAGGACAACTTTTTGAGAGTGATAATTTGGAAAAAGAATGTATTTTAGCACTCCACACAATATAACACAGGCATGCTTGTCAGCATGCTTCATTTTTAAACTAACTCTGATAGAAGATGTTTTCTGATTGTGACTCATTATTTGTTGGATGGTATATTTTATATAGCACAAAAAAGATACCCTTTATAAGTAATGGTCCATCTTAATTGGGATATAACTTAAAAATTCAATAAACTGTAAAAGAGTGAAGTAGAACGTAGGAATGTGAAGCAAAAACAAAGAAACGAAATATAGTGCAGCCTTCATTAGATTATTTCAATTGGAAATGATATCTTTTGGTGTGGTTATTTGAACAAGTTATTAGAAAAATCACTACTGCTATTTTACCTGCAATTGTTAATGTGATAGTTTTTCACTGCCTTGGATGGAATGAAAGATCTCCAGTTATTTATTTCTATAACTTCTATGCAGCCAGTAAAATTCTTGACTGGTACAGGCATCTGAGAGAGAGAGAGAGAGAGAGAAGTAGAGATAATTTAAATGATTTTCTTGAATATATTATTCTTGCTTCAAACTGGTCAGGGTATGCAACTGGATTTGGAGGCTGATTTGATTTATTCTACTTATTTATAGTACAGTAATTCAAATATTTTCATAAATATCAATCCAAAAAGTAATAGGATTTTTCCATATCTTGGCTATTATGAATAATGCTGCAATGAACATGGGCAAAATTATAAAGAAATTATGTTTGTGTACATACAAACACAATGCTATTCAACCTTATAAAAGAAGGAAATCCTGCCATTTGTTACAACCTGGATGAAACTGAAAGATATTATGCTAAGTGAAATAAGTTAGACACAAACATATGTGATTATCTCACTTATAGGTAGACTCTAACAAAATGAACTCAAATACACAGAAATAGACACCAAATCTGTGGTTATAAAGCCAAGCAAGGTCTGAGGCTGTGGGTGGGGAAAAAATGTGCAGATTTAGGTCAAGAGATACAAAGCATCAGATATTTAGAATAAACAAATCTACAGACCTAATGTGTAACATGAGGATTATAGTTAAAAATATTGCATTGTATTTGGGACTTTTGGTGAATGAATAGATTTTAGCTGCTCTTGCTACACACAGATGAAAAATGGGTAACTATATGTGATAATGGATGTTAATTTGCTTCACTATAGTTACTATTTTACTACCCATATGTATCTCATAACATCATGTATCTCATAACATCATGTGGCCCATACCTTAAATATATACAATAAAATTTATTTTAAAAATTAGTAGGAAAGAATGTCACCTTATTCATCAAAAGTTACTCATGCCTATATATCTTAGTACTGTATAGATTACATAGTCACTAATACTTAAAGAAAAAATTACATAATTACAGTAAATTATCAATGAAAAATAGAAGAAAAGCTAATACACTCATCCTTCCCATCAAGGCACTACATTTTTCCATCTTTGGCCTGTTTCTTGCAGTTTTTTCTCTCAGACATCAATTACCTTGCCTTATCTGCAGATATCAAAACATTAAGAAGAATTGCTCTTCTAGGGACCAAAGCTAACAAAGTAATCTATAAAGATTTGTGATATATTTTACATGCCTTTTGTGTTCTGCAGCCTGTCCTCCTTAGGAATAAGTTGGGGAAAAATGATAACAAAAAGATACTAAGGGTCCAAGAACAAGAAGAGAAGTACATTGAAGAACATTCAATTTGGTGAACAAAAATAACCTAATCATTACGAGCATACAATATTATACTAGTAATTACATGTGTATCTAAATGTATATTTATGAGAAAAAGGGAAAGTAAAAGTGAATACAGCTCAGAATTTAATAGTTAGAAATGAGCATTCATTCAGATGCTGTCCTCTGATAAGCTCTTAATATTACTAAAAATTTCAAGCTTAGGTGAACCAAATTATGACCAGAGAAACCATTAAACTTACATACTGAAAAATATATTAGTTATCTTAATTTTTGAATTAAAATTATACACTATTTGCATCTCAAGACTTTGTATCTTATTGAATATATTATAAATAATAGAATAAGGCCTTTGTCTTGTTTAGAAATTTCAGGATTAATATATTTCACTTTTTAAATCATAGTTTAGAACCTTTGAAAGTTTGCTATAGGCTCAAATTTACTGCAAAGACTCTCACCTGGTAATACTCTGTCAAACGTCAAAAATGACTGAACTAGAAAATAAAACAATATTTCACACAGTAAGTTTACAAACAAGTCAAGTAGATTCCAAAGAAACTATTTAATGGAAGCATTTGGCTTTTATATGCTGCAGTTGGGAAAGTACTGATTTGTCATTGTTAAAGTTTCTCTAGCTTTATTAATGTTTTTAATTTTTAGATTTAATTCTTATTTTTACTGCAGTTATATACTTAATTTAAAAATAAAGTTTATGACTATGTCTCCTGAAATATTATAGTTTACTATTAAAAAAATGATCTTATAAAAATGCTTTTGATTATAATGATAGTGAATGTTCAAACTTAAATCTGACATAGCTCAGCAATGGCATAAAAGTATGTTTACATTGCAGTACATATTTTTCTCTGTTAAGATCCTTATTATTCATAGGGATAAAAAAAGGGGAAACTGATAATGTTTAAATTAATATAAACACATTAAAGAGCCATGAAAAATGGTCTATAAAGGAAATGACTCTATGATTACTCTATTGAGATACTTCTCAGAATTCTATAATTCAATTTCATTCACACATTATGAATTAAAAATGCATATTAATTTATTCACCTTGGGCTTTGAAAAATGGCAAGAAAAAATTTCCCAGCCATTAGCCTTTACATTTGAGTAAATTCAAAATTTCTTCATTTCTTATGTTTTAATAGACTGACCACTCTCTAGTTCTATCACACATTATCTTTTTGCAGTACTGTTCGGAATAGTTATTTAGCTTCCAAATAAATTCCCACTTTTTTTTTCACTTTAAATATACAAACAACCTTCTTATAAAAATGTGAGCAAAGGACATGAACAGACACTTTTCCAAAGAAGACAGACACGTGGCCAAAAATCATGTAAAAAAACAAAAGCTCAGCCAGGCACGGTAGCTCATGCCTGTAATCCCAGCACTTTGGGAGGCCGAGGCACGTGGATCATGAGGTCAAGAGATCAAGACCATCCTGGCCAACATGGTGAAACCCTGTCTCAACTAAAAATACAAAACTTAGCTGGGCATGGTGGTGCACACCTGTAGTCCCAGCTACTCGGGAGGCTGTGGCAAGAGAATTGCTTAAACCTTGGAGGAGGAGGTTGCAGTGAACCGAGATCGTACCACTGCCCTCCAGCCTGGTGACAGAGCAAGACTCCATGAAAAAAAAAAAAAAATGCTCAACATCACTAATTAAATGCAAATCAAAACCACAATGAGATACCATCTCACACCAGTCCAAATGGCTATTTATTAAAAGTAAAAAAAATAAAAAAAAAAATAACAGATGCTGGCAAGATTGTGGAGAAAAAGGAATGCTTATACACCATTGGTGGGTGTGTAAATTAGTCCAGCCATCGTGGATGGCAATGTAGCAATTCCTCAAAGCCTTAAAGACTGAAATACCACTCGACCCAGCAATCCCATCACTGGGTACATACCCAAAGGAATATAAATCATTCTATAATAAAGACCATACACATATATGTTCACTGCAACACTATTCACAATAGCAAAGACATGGAATCAACCAAAATACCCAGCAATAATAGATTGGATAAAGAAAATGTACATAGACACAATGGAATACTACACAGCCATGAAAAAGAACAAAAACATGTCTATTGCAGGGACATGGATGGAGCTGGAGGCCATTATCCTTAGGAAACTAATACAGAAAAAGAAAATCAAATACCACATGTTCTCACTTAGAAGTGGAAGCTAAAGGATGAGAATAGCTGGATACATAGAGGTGAACAACATGCACTAGGTCTATTGCCTATTGGAGGGTAGAGGGTGGAAGAAGGGAGAGGATGAGGAAAAGTAACTAATATGTACTAGGCTTAATACCTCAATGATGAAATAATCTGTACAACAAACCCCCAGGACAACAGTTTACCTATAAACCTGCACATGTTCTCCTGAACTTAAAATAGAAGTTAAAAGAAAAAACATATTTTAAAAGGTGAAAAAAAAGAGAGAGAGAGAAAGGGAACTGAGCATATGAGTGAACAAAATGGGAAGACTGGACTGAATTTTTTTTGTGTACTTTAAGTGCTGGAACCACGTTGAATTTATCATTTATATAAAAGTATAATTTAAAAGCTCAAAGTTAAAAATCAAAAGAACAAATTTTCTGTAAGGCTAAATTTATCCAATCTTCATTTATTTCAAAGGTTCTTGTTTTTATAATGGTGATAGTTGATAGTAGATACTGTTTTTGATTTTTATTTAATGTATTTAGTTTTTTAAATAAAAATAATTTATTAAAATTAATAAAGCATATATTAACATTTCATTTTGTAAAACATAAGTGAAACCTGAACTCAAGTACTGAGCCTTAATACTAAACTCTAAAGCACATGGTTTTTAGATCATTTCTACTGTTGGGAAACCTTTTTTCCTTGAATTTGTGTTTATAATAATCAGGTTAATTAGGTTTCTGGGACAGGAGTCTTAAAAGTAATAGAAGGGAAACAAAGATACACAATTCATATGACAATTTGTAATGTAAAATATATATAATAGATTAAAGACAAGAAATAATTATCTGCATTAGATTATAAGAATGGTACCATTGCATGGTATCTTCATTTAAAAAATTGTAGTCACGTGCTGCTGTGATTTCTCAAATATAGTTCTTATTATTAATCCAGGACAAATAACTCCTGGTTATTTCTAAACAATGTAAAATGGCAATGTAGTATGCCAAATCATAGCACTAGGAATATAATTCATGGTACTAAGCATTAATAATAAAAACAAAATTCTCGAGCTCGCTGGCAAGATGGCTGAATAGGAACAGCTCTGGTGTGCAGCTCCCATCAAGATCAACGCAGAAGGCAGGTGGTTTCTGCATTTCCAAATGAGGTACCTAGTTCATCTCATTGGGACTGGTTGGACAGTGGGTACAGCCCACAGCAAGCCAAAGCAGGATGGGGTGTCAGCTCACCCGGGAAGCACAAGTGGTCAGGAGATTTCCCTCCCCTAGCCAAGGGAAGCCATAAGAGACTATATCGGGAGGAACGGTGCACTCTGGCTTAGATACTGTGCTTTTCCCACAGTCTTCACAACCGGCAGACCAGGAGACTCCCTCTGGTGCCTATGCTACCAGGGCCCTGGGTTTCAAGCACAAAACTGGGCAGCCTTTTGGGGAAGCCACTGAGCTAGCTGCAGAAGGTTTTTTTTTTTTTCATACCCCAGTGGCACCTGGAATGCCGGCGAGAAGGAAGCATTCACTCCCCTGCAAAGGGGCCTGAAACCAGGGAGTCAAGTGCTCTGGCTCAGCAGGTCCCACCCCAACGGAGCCCAACAAGCTAAGATCCAGTGGCCTGAAATTCTTGCTGCCAGCACAGCCATCTGAGGTCGACCTAGGATGCTCGAGCTTGGTGGGGGGAGGGGCTTCGGCCATTACTGAGGCTTGAGTAGGTGGTTTTACCCTCACAGTGTAAACAAAGCCACTGGTAAGTTGGAACTGCGTGGAGCCCACTGCACCTCAGCAAGGGTGCTGTGGCCAGACTGCATCTCTAGATTCCTCCTCTCTGGGCAGGGCATCTCTGAACAAATGGTATCAGCCCCAGTCAGGGACTTATAGATAAAATCCCCATCTCCCTGGGACAGAGCAACTAGGGGAAAGGGTGGCTGTGGGGGCAGCTTCAGCAGGCTTAAATATCCCTGACTGACTACTCTAAAGAGAGCAGCAAATCTCCCAGCACATCGTTTGAGCTCTGTTAAGGGACAGATTGCCTCCTCAAGTGGGTCCCTGACACCTGTGTATCCTGACTAGGAGACATCTCCCAGTAGGGGCTGACAGGCATCTCATATAGGCGAGCTCTGGCTGGCATCTGGCTGGTTCCCCTCTGGGACGAAGCTTCCAGAGGAAGGAACAGACAGAAATCTTTGCTGTTCTGCAGCCTCTGCTGGTGATACCAAGGAAAACAGGATCTGGAGTGGACCTCCAGCAAACTCCAGCAGACCAGTAGCAGAGGGAACTGACTGTTAGAAAGAAAACTAACAAACAGAAAGTAATAACATCAACATCAACAAAAAGGACGTCCACTCAGAGACCCCATCTGAAGGTCACCAACATCAAAAACCAAAGATAGATAAATCCACGAAGATGGGGAGAAACCAGTGCAAAAGGCTGAAAATTCCAAAAACCAGAATGCCTCTTCTTCTCCAAAGGATCACAACTCCTTGCAGCAAGGGAACAAAACTGGATGAACAATGAGTTTGATGAATTGGAAGAAGTAGGCTTCAGAAGGTAGGTAATAACAAACTCCTCTGAGCTAAAGGAGCATGTCCTAACACAATGCAAGGAAGCTAAGAACCTTAAAAACAGGTTAAACGAATTGCTAACTAGAATAACCAGTTTAGAGAAGAACATAAATGACCTGATGGAGCTGAAAAACACAGCAAGAAAACTTCATGAAGCATACACAAGTTGCAACAGCCAAATCGATCAAGCAGAAGAAAGGATATCAGAGATTGAAGATCAACTCAATGAAATAAAGCAAGAAGACAAGATTAGAGAAAAAAGAGTGAAAAGAAATGAACAAAGTCTCCAAGAAATGTGGGACTATGTGAAAATACCAAATCTAGGTTTGATTGTTGTACCTGAAAATGATGGGGAGAATGGAACCAAATTGGAAAACACTCTGCAGGATATTATCCAGGAGAACTTCCCCAACCTAACAAGGCGGATCAACATTCAAATTCAGGAAAAACAGAGAACACCACAAAGATACTCCTCGAGAAGAGCAAACCCAAGACACATAATTGTCAGATTCACCAAGGTTGAAAAGAAGGCAAAAATGTTAAGGGCAGCCAGAGAGAAAGGTCGGGTTACCCACAAAAGGAAGCCCATCAGACTAATGATGGATCTCTTGGCAGAAGAGGGTGGGGACCAATATTCAACATTCTTAAAGAAAAGAATTTTCAGTCGAGAATTTCATATCCAGCCAACCTAAGCTTCATAAGTGAAGGAGAAATAAAATTCATTACAGACAAGCAAATGCTGAGAGATTTTGTCACCACCAAGCTTGCCACACAAGAGCTCCTGAAGGAAGCACTAAACATGGAAAGGAACAACCGGTACCAGCCACTGCAAAAACATACCAAATTGTGAAGACCACTGACGCTATGAAGAAACTGCATCAACTAATGGGCAAAATAACCAGCAAGAATCATAATGACAGGATCAAATTCACACATAACAACACTAACCTTAAATGTAAATGGGCTAAATGCCCCAATTAAAAGACACAGACTGGCAATTTGGACAAAGAGTCAAGACCCTTCGCTGTGCTGTATTCAGGAGACCCATTTCATGTGCAGAGACACACACAGGCTCAAAATAAAGGGATGTGGGAAGATTTACTAAACAAATGGAAAGCAAAAAAAAAAAAAAAAAAAAAAAAGCAGGGGTTGCAATCCTAGTTTCTGATAAAACAGACTTCAAACCAACAAAGATCCAAAGAGACAAAGAAGGGCATTACATAATGGTAAAGGGATTAATGCAACAGGAAGAGCTAACTATCCTAAATATATATGCAACCAATACAGGAGCACCCAGATTTATAAAGCAAGTTCTTAGAGACCTACAAAGAGACTTAGACTCCCGCATAATAATAGTGGGAGACTTTAACACGCCACTGTCAATATTAGATGAATGAGACAGAAAATTAATAAGCACCACATCACACTTATTCTAAAATTGACCATATAATTGGAAGTAAAACACTCCTCAGCAAATGCAAAAGAAAAAAATGATAACACACAGTCTCTCAAACCATGGTGCAATCAAATTACAAGTCAGGATTAAGAAACACACTCAAAACTGCACAACTAAAGGAAACTGTACAACTTGCTCCTGAGTGACTGGGTAAATAACAAAATTAAGGCACAAATAAAGATGTTCTTTGAAACCAATGAGAACAAAGACACAACAGAATCTCTGGGACACATTTAAAGCAGTGTGTAGAGGGAAATTTATAGCAATAAATGCCCACAGGAGAAAGTAGGAAAGATCTAAAATTGACAGCCTAATATCACAATTAAAAGAACTAGAGAAGCAAGAGCAAACACGTTCAAAAGCTAGCAGAAGACAAGAAATAACTAAGATCAGAGCAGAACTGAAGGAGATATAAACATGAAAAACCCTTCAAAAAAATCAATGAATTCAGGAGCTGGTTTTTTGAAAAGATCAACAAACTAGATACACCACCAGCCAGACTGATAAAGAAGAAAAGAGAGAAGAATCAAATAGACACAATAAAAAATGATAAAGGGGATATCACCACCGATTTCACAGAAATACAAACTACCATTAGAGAATACTATAAACACCTCTACACAAATAAACTAGAAAATCTAGAAGAAATGAATAAATTTCTGGACACATACACACTCCTAAGAATAAACAAGGAAGATGTCAAATCCCTGAATAATAACTTCTGAAATTGAGGCAGTAATTAATAGCCTACCAACCAAAAACGTCCAGGATCAGATGGATTCACAGCCAAATTCTACCAGAGGTACAAAGAGGAGCTGGTATCATTCCTTCTGAAACTATTGCAAACAATGGAAAAAAAGGGAAACCTCCCTAACTCATTTTATGAGGACAGTATCATCCTGATACCAAAACCTGGCAGAGACACATACACAAAAAGAACATTTCAGGCCAATATCCCTTATGAACGTCGATGAGAAAATCCTCAATAAAATGCTGGCAAACCGAATCCAGCCACACATCAAAAAGCTTTTCTACCACGATCAAGTCAGCTTCATCCCTGGGATGCAAGCCTGGTTCAACATATGCAAATCAATAAGTGTAATCCACAAAGAGGAGCTGGTACCATTCCTTCTGAAACTATTCCAAACAATGGATAAAAAGGGAAACCTCCCTACCTCATTTTATGAGGACAGCATCATCCTGATACGAAAACCTGGCAGAGACACATACACAAAAAGAACATTTCAGGCCAATATCCCTATGAACATCGATGAGAAAACCCTCAATAAAATGCTGGCAAACTGAATCCAGCCACACATCAAAAAGCTTATCTACCACGATCAAGTCGGCTTCATCCCTGGGATACAAGGCTGGTTCAACATATGCAAATCAATAAGTGTAATCCATCACATAAACAGAACCAATGACAAAAACCACATGATTATCTCAATAGATGCAGAAAATGCCTTCAAAAATATTCAACAACCCTTCATGCTAAAAACTCTCAATAAACTAGGTACTGATGGAAAGTATCTCAAAATAATAAGAGCAATTAATGACAAACTTACAGCCAATATCATACTGAATGGGCAAAAACTGGAAACATTTCCTTTGAGAACCGGCACAAGACAAGGATGCCCTCTCTCACCACACCTATTCAATATAGTATTGGAAGTTCTGGCCAGGGCAATGAGGCAAGATAAAGAAATACAGGGTATTCAATTAGGAAAAGAGGGAGTCAAATTGTCTCTGTTTGCAGATGATGTGATTGAGTATTACCAAACCCCATCGTCTCAGCCCAAAATCTCCAGAAGCTGATAAACAACTTCAGCAAAGTCTCAGGATGCAATATCAATGTGCAAAAATCACAAGTATTCCTATACACTAATAACAGACAAATAGCCAAATCATGACTGAACTCCCATTCACAGTTGCTACAAAGAGAATAAAATACCTAGGAATACAACTTACAAGGGACGTGAAGGACCTCTTCAAGGTGAACTACCAAACACGGCTCAAGGAAATAAGAGAGGACACAAACAAATGGAAAAACATTCCATGCTCAAGGATAGGAAGAATCAGTATTCTAAAATGGCCATACTGCCCAAAGTAATTTATAGATTCAATTCTATCCCCATCAAGCTACCATTGATTTTCTTCACAGAATTGGAAAAAAACTACTTTAAATTTCATATCAAACCAAAAAAGATCCCACATAGCCTAGACAATCCTAAGCAAAAAGAACAAAACTGGAGGCATCATGCTACATGACTTCAAACTATACTACAAGGCTACAGTAACACAAACAGCATGGTACTGGTCCCAAAACAGATATATAGACCAATGGAACAGAACAGAGACCTCAGAAATACCACCACACATCTACAACCATCTGATCTTTGACAAACCTGATAAAAACAAGCAATGGGGAAAGGATTCCATATTTAATAAATGGTTTTGGGAAAACTGGCTGCCCATATGCAGGAAGGTGAAACTGGATCCCCTCCTTACACCTTATATAAAAATTAACTCAAGATGGATTAAAGACTTAAATGTAAGATCTAAAACCAAGAAACTGTAGAAGAAAATCTAGGCAATACCATTCAGGACATAGGCATGGCAAAGACTTCATTACTAAAACACCAAAAGCAATGGCAACAGAAGCCAAAATAGACAAATGACATCTAATTAAAGAGCTTCTGCACAGAAAAAGAAACTATCATCAGAATGGGAGAAAAATTTTTAAAATCTATCCATCTGACAAAGGGCTAAAATTCAGAATCTACAAAGAACTTAAATTTACAAGAAAAAAAAAAAACATCAAAAAGTAGGCACAGGATATGAACAGACAATTCTCCAAAGAAGACATTTATGCAGCCACCAAACAGATGAAAAAAAGCTCATTTTCACTGGTCATTAGAGAAATGCAAATCAAAATCACAATGAGATACTGTCTCATGTCAGTTAGAACTATGATCATTAAACGTCAGGAAACAACAGATGCTGGAGAGGATGTGAAAAAATAGAAACGCTTTTACACTGTTGGTGGGAGTGTACATTAGTTCAACCATTGTGGAAGACAGTGTGGCAATTCCTCAAGGATCTAGAACTAGATATACCATTTGACCCAGCAATCCCTTTACTGGGTATGTAACCAAGGGATTATAAATAATTCTACTATAAACACACATGCAAACGTATGTTTATTGTGGCACTGTTCACAATAGCAAAGACTTGGAACCAACCCAAATGCCCATGAATGATAGACTGGATAAAGAAAATGTGGCACATATAAACCATGGAATACTATGCAGCCATGAAAAACATGAATTCATGGCTTTTGTAGGGACATGGATGAAGCTGGAAACTATCATTCTCAGCAAACTGACACAAGAACAGAAAACCAAACACTGTATGTCCTCACTCATAAGTGGGAGTTGAACAATGAGAACACATGGATACAGAGAGGGGAATATCACACACCAGGGCTTGTCAGGGGGTGGGGGCCTCGGGGAGGAATAGCATTGGGAGAAATATCTAAAGTTGATGGCGGGTTGATGGGTGGAGAAAAGCACCATGGCATGTGTATACCTATGTAACAAATCTGCTTGTTCTGTACATTACTCCAGAACTTAGATCATAATAAAAAAACACCCAGAATTCTCCCTTTTTTCATTTCAAACATGTTGTCTTACATTTCTAAATATATCTTCAATATGTTACCTTTTATTCTACCTCCATATTAGTATTACAATATTTAATTCTCTCTCTGGCATTTGATGGCTTTAGCTCTCATTCCTTTAAAGAAAGTTGAAGTCAGTGGATTATCCATACTGTATAAGCAGTTTCCATATTAATAATCAGTAGTAGTTACACAAAGTTTAGACAGAGGGCATTCGATGTGATAATATAGACTGCTGTATACAATATTCCAGATTTACAACTCAACAATTTTAAATACAAACACATCACAATTTTTTAAAATCATGTATCTAATCATTTGATGCTATGAAAATACATGAAAGTATGAGAAGTTTTCATGTTTTTATCCTCTTGACATATTAGACACAATTACTTGAAGAATATCTAAATTATTGGTTAACCTGGTATTAAGGAACAATTTTTTTGGAGTTGAAATGCCTTTTCCAAACAAATTTTTATTTTTATTTATTTATTTTAAAACTTATTTTAAAATCTATTTTTGTATGTGTGTGATTTTTTATTTAAAAAATTATTATTTATTTTATAGATATATAGTAGGTATAGATATTTGTGGGGTATATGAGATATTTTGATACAGACTTACAATGTGTAATGATCACGTTAGGGTAAATGGGGTATCCAGCACCTCAAGCAATCATTATTTCTTTGTTCTATGAGCGTTCCAATTTTACTCCTTCAGTTAATCTAAAAGATACAACCAATTATTGCTGACTTATAGTCACCCTGTTATACTATCAAATACTAGATCTTATTCATTGTATCTAATTATATTTTTGTGCGTATTAACCTTTCTTTTTACTTTTGAATCAGTAAAGTCCTTTCTCTTTATATTGTTATTGCCACTTCTGTTTTTTAATGGTAGTCTTTGCTGTCTACTGTAACTGATTTAGCCCAATTTAAGTGACTTTTTAGATTAGTGTACTTTGAAAACCAATAAAGTTGGTTTGGAATCAATTAAGAAATAGTCAATTGGTATTACAAAAACAACTTCAATAGTTTCATCTTTATTGTAGATTTATTATTTATTTGTTTTTGAAATCTATCTTTTTAGCTACCTATCTTACTAATAATTAGGTAAAAGTTTTAGAAATGTAAAAAAAATGAGATTCTTAAATCTAGCAATACCAATTGATTAAATCAATGGTTTTCATCCTGTATTATCTGAGGAACCTACGTTTTCTGAAAGAACTTCGTTTAGCAGGAGGAGAACAACTGTGAATAGGGCTTCTGCTCCCATGTTACTAAGGAACAATTTTACTTGTACATGCTCTCGATATTGGATTTCTGCATCAGATTTTTTTAAAACAAAGCTTCTATTGAAAAACTATATATTAAATTAGGCTAAACCTTTTATGAGAGAAAAATTTCTGAAGATATGTGTGTGCATGTGTGTGTGTATGTGTGTGTGTCTGTGTGTAAATACAGGCAATCTCAGATGGATGGATGGATGGATGGACGGATGGATGGATGGATAGACAGATAGATAGACAGACAGACAGGAAGACAGACATTTCCCCTTAAATTACAGAGAATATTCCAGTTAAGCTGCCACAAGACCTTTCTTCCCTGCTGCTGCTGCTGTTGTGATGTATTCTTTTCTCAGTTTTCCTCATCATTGTGCCTCATCCCCACCTGGCACTCTTAATTTGCCTTGCAGTTCCAAGTTATTACTTGGTATCATTTTCCTGACACCTGAAGAGCTTCCTTTAACACATCTTATAATATAGTTCTAATTAAAGCACATTCCCTTAGGTTATTTTTTGGCCTAAAAATGTCATTAATTCATACTATTTTGAGTGACATTTTTTGTTGGATTTGGAATTCTGTGTTGAAGGGTTTTTTTGTTTTTTAAAGTCAGCACTTAAAAGATATTGTTCCATTGTCTTCTGCTTTGCATTGTTTGAGATGAGAAGTCAGTGATAAATTTTTTATTAGGTTTTATTAAGATTATTAGATATATTGTTTGATATTTTTCTTCAAATCTGGACAATTTTGTTATTATTTCTTCAAACAGTTATTCTGTTCTTATTTATCTCTCCATCTTTTGGAACTCCAGTTACTTGAAATTTTTATCTGTTTAGGTCATTGAGTCTATGGGTTGTTGAATCTCTGCTCATTTTTTCCCCACCATTTTATATCTTTCTTTCAGCATAGTTTCTACTCCTGTCAAGTTTAATGGTCTTTTATTCTGCAGTGTGTAATATATTGTTAAACAAACATAGTTGAGGTATTATATTTTTATCTTTAGATGTTCTACTTGTTTCACTTTATTAGTTGACTTTTTGTTATTTCTATACTAGATTCTTATTTTTTAGTTTCCATTTTTCTCCTATTTTTCTTCAGTCCTTAGACAAATTGATAATGACAATTTTAAAGTCTTTTACGTTGATCATATAATCTCTATGATTTCTTTCCTTACTGGTTTTCTTTGAGTCATTTTTATCCTATTGGCCACAGTTTCCCACAAATTTTTTCCATATTTAATCATGTTTATTGAATTTTGGACATTGTATTATTACTTTATTTTGTATTCTTCCAGATTTTTCCCTGTATTCCAATTATTTATGTAAATAAGATATTGTAGTAGCAATTACTCATTCATGGCCAGAAAACCTATATGCTTTTTAAAAAATAAATTCTACTTGGCTTGTAACATAAAATAAATATGCTATTTTTAAACGAAAAATTCCACATGGCTTATAATAATGGAATGAACAGTTTCCAGTACCAAACCCTTACTATTACCCTGATTCCCTACTCAAAAAAATTTTCATACTATTTCATAAATTTATTCTGTTATTGACTTTCAAGTTTCTAAGTAATATGTTCATATTGTTGTGTATTACCTTTTAAATTTAACACATTTTTACTTGGCTTAGCGTTTATGCTTCAATGATTGCCCAACTTTACAGATATAAATCCCTCTTTTTGTTATTCAAATACTATGAACACTTATTAATTTTAATCTTTTAAACATTTACAGTCTCTCCACTATCATGTTTAAAATTTACTTTATTGCTCTCCTATGGTGAATCTACTCTAAACTGAATTCTATATGTTACTCAGGCTTAGTTTATTCATTTATTGATATATTCATTGATAATATAATCAAATTTCATTAGTACCAGCTTCAAAATGACTGGAGTATTTGAAAGCTAATAAATAATATAAGGCTGATGTAATTTAGTCCTATACTTTTTTAGCCACAAGCTAAAAGTCGAAAGAATGTGAGTGATATTATGGTGAGTAAATTAATGACTTTAATAAATTACACGTGGGCCATAAAGGAGAAAACAGAAAAATAAAGAAGTAGGATATTCCATGCTATGAATATTTATTAAATGCCTACTAAGTATTTATTAGTTTCTCATAAATCATTCCAAGGCTTGGGAACTTGGAAAATAATAGATCAAGAAAAAGAGAGAAATTGGTAGGAAGTGCTGATTCTAAGGCCATATGGATGAACTTGGATGTTAATGTAGTGTTTCTGATGTTTAGTTGTTATATAGACTAAGAAAAAATTGGATGGTAATTATTTGTTGTCTATAAGGCCAACTATCACATGTTAGTCTATAAATATCTTAAATGTGGGACTTTAGCAACTTAGTGACAAAACAACTATATAAATATAGGAATACTTTAGTTCACAAAATTTGGTGATACTTAAATCAATTTTATTTTACTTTGATCTATTCACCAAGTCATATGCACTTTGTAATATTTATGTGGTTCAAGTGGACATAGTCTACATGTAGAAGTAAACTAGAAAGTGGGTTAAGTCAAATTCCCCATACAAATATAAAATTTATACATGGATTTAACAACTATTTACTAAGCACATACTCGGTAGTAAGCACAGGGTCACCATATATGGTTATGCAAATTGTTCATTGACAAAGAAAGTCTAGCTGATAAAGTGGAGTAGAGCCTGAAAATTAATCGACATTTTTTCCCCAAGCTGTCTGCTCAGAAAAGGTGTGCTTTAAAAAATCTGTAAACCTAGAGGGTTTACTTTTTCTAATTCAAACAAAATCACCATATAGCATATGTGGGGCTAGGTGTTGGTGCAATATCATGTTAGTAGAAACCCAGATAAAGTTCAGTTTAAGGAAATAGACTGATAGATTTCTGTTTCTGATAACAGCACAGTAACTTGTTGGAGACCAAGTCTCTTATTAATATGACTAGATATAATTCATATAAAATTATATTTACAGGCTATAGGGAACTACCACGGAAGCAAGGACTTGAGGGGCCAATATCTCAGAGAGAAGGAAAGTACAAAGTGTTGATCTTGACATTTCCTCTTATATTTTGAATTTACAAGTGGCAGATGAAATTTGCAGAAGCTGAATAGGAACTTCTATAAGTTTTGTGGTTGAGGTGAAGTATTGAAACTCAGGGGCAAATAATCATTTTCTCTGGAGGATTGGAATGACAAAATTACAGGACAACATTTGAAGCTATGTTTCTAAAGTTTTCAGGTCAGCAAGGTTTCAAAGCAGCCGAAAGTTTATTCCATGGATATTTGCATCAGTGTTTTTGTTGGTTATTATTTCTTCACTGCAGAAACTGGCAAAGAATGTCTCTGGACAATGGAACCAGAAAAGCCTGAGCACAATTTTGTCTGTTTCTCTCCAGTTTACTCTCTCAGCAAGAACAGACATGCTCTTTTCCACAGTACAATCTCTACAGCACCTACCCCATCCTCAGACATTCACACACATAATTTCAATGCAGCTATCTGTATACTAATTTCCCATGATTTCTTTATTGTTTAACAGCTTTATTGAGGTAAACTTCACATATCATATATAATTTATCTATTTAAAAATACAATTCAGGGTTTTAATATGTTCACAGAGTTATTCAACCATTACTACAATTAATTTTAGAATAATTTGTCACCCCAAAAAGAAACACCTTACCTGTTAGTAGTTTGTCTCTATTATTTCTTCAATGCTAGGGAATTACTAATATTACATTCTATCCTCATAGATTTACCTATTGTGGATATGTTACACATCCTATGTGATTGGCTTCTTTAATTTAGTATAATTTTCTTAACATTTCTCTATGTTGTAACATGTATCAGTATTTCACCCCTTTTAATTGCCGAATAACATTCCATTGCATGGATATATCATATTTTATCTATACATCGCTTGATTCGCCTTTGGGTTGTTTCCATTTTTGGCTAGTGTGAATACTCCTGCTATGATGTTTCATGTACAGATTTGTGTGTGGACATATTTGCATTTATTTTGAGAATTATGAGTCATCCAATAAATTTTCTTTATACATTTGTGTGATATATTTGGGTTCATGTTTCCCGACTATACTGAAATATAACTACTTCAGTATAAATTTTGAGGAGGGAGCTAGTAGCTAGGGGCTAATTCTTCACACTGATTTTGGGAAATCAATACATCAAAACTACCTTTAATTGAAAACATCCTAAATGTCCATCTACAAGATCTTACCCAAATAAAATGCTGTACAACTACATGCTGTGAATTGGAGTAGAAATATGTCCATAATGGACATATGGAGTGTGCAGTAGATGCCGTGGTATCCATCCAGATCTCCCTCTAGGAGTAAAGGATTTTCATCCTCCTTTCACTATTGGAAGTGATGCTGGCAAGTTGACTTTACATTTGAACATTCTTTGGGAAGTACTTTAGCCCAAGAATGTGGGATCATCTAAGTTTACTCCCATTTTCTGGGGGAAGTTTACATTCAACAATGGGTCAAAAAGGGACAATAACAGCCTGAACCCATCACCCTAACTTTTGACAGCTCTTAATGGTCAGTCCAGCTACAAACTTGACATGGGATTGTTCAGAGCCTTTGGGACTCCTCCCTAACTCATTCTAGCAAACCAGCATCAGCCTAATACCAAAATCTGGCAAAGACACGACAAAGAATGGAAACTTCAGGCCAATATCCCTGATGAACATAGAAGCAAGAATTCTTAACAAAATACTAACAAACTGAATCCAGTAGCAGATCAAAAAGTTAATTCACCATGATGAGGTAGGCTTTATTTTTGGGATGCAAAGTTGGTTCAACATATGCAAATCAATAAATGTGATTCACTGCATAAACAGAATTAAAAGCAAAAATCAAATAATCATTGTGACAGATGCATAAAAAAGTTTCTCATAAAAGCCAACATGCCTTCATGGTAAAAACCTTCAACGAACTAGGCATTGAAGAAACATACCTCAGAATATGAGCCATTTATGACAATTCCATAGCCAACAATATACTGAATGGGCAAAAGCTTTCCCCTTGAGAACTTAAAAAGACAAGGATGCCCCTCACATCACCCCATTCAATAGTACTGGAAGTTCCAGCCACAGTAATCAGGCAACAGAAATAAATTAAATGCATCCAAAATAGGAAAATAAGTCAAACGATCTTTCTTCAATGTGATGGGACTGTATATTTAGAAAACCATAAAGACTCTGCCAAAAGGCTACTGGACCTGATACATAATTTTAGCAAGATTTCAGGATACAAAATCAATGTATAAAAATCGGTATATTTCTATGTATCAATAACATCCAGGCTGAGAGTCAAATCAAGAATGTAATCTTGTTTACAGTAACCACAAAGAAAATGAAATACCTAGGAATACAGCTAACCAAATAGGTGAAAGACCACACAAAGAGAACTACAAAACACTGCCGAAAGAAATCAGAGATGACACAAATGAATGGAAAAATGTTCCATGCTCATGGGTTGGAGGAATTAATATCACTGAAATTGCCCAAAGAAACTTAAAGATTTGATGTTATTCCTATCGAACTACCAAAGTCATTCTTCACAGCATTAGAAAAAAGCTATTCTAAAAGAACAAACCAGGAATCCCAAGAAGACCCACAGACCCTCTGAAGGAAGTGGAGTGCTCCTGCAGGACCCTGGAGATATCTCAAATACTGTGCTGGTATCCACAGCTGAGAGACCACAGATGGTTAATATCACAGGACTCTGTGCAGACAACCCCCTGGAGCCGGGTAGGCTTGCTGTGTAGCTAGATCCAGAAGAGAGATAACAATCATTGCATCTTGGCTCACAGAAAGCCACATTCATAGGAAAAGGGGGAGAGAACTGCATCAAGGGAACACCCTGTGGGACAAAAGAATCGGAACAACAGCCTTTAGCCCTAGACCTTTCCTCTGACAGAGCCTACCCAAATGAAAAGGAACTAGATAACCAACTCTGGTAATATGATAAAACAAGGCTCTTTAACACCTCCCAAAAAGTCTCACTAGTTCACCAGAAATAGTTCCAACCTAAGAAGAAATCTCTGATTTACCTGAAAAAGAATTCAGGAGGTAAGTTATTAAGCTAATCAGGGAGGCACCAGAGAAAGGTGAAGCCCAGTGCAAGGAAATCCAAAAAACAATACAAGAAGTGAAGGGAGAAATATTCAGGGAAATAGATAGCATAAAGGAAAAACAAACCTTCAGGAAACACTGGACACACTTACAAAAATGCAAAATTCTCTGGAAAGTCTCAGCAATATAATTGAACAAGTAGAATAAAGAAATTCAGAGCTTGAAGACAAGGTTTTTGAACTAAATCTAAAAAAGACAAAGAAAAAAATAAGAAAACATGAAAAGTCTCCAAAAAGTCTGGGATTATATTAAATGAACAAACCTAAGAATAATTGGTATTCCTAAGGAAGAAGAGAAATCTAAAAGTTTGGAAAACATATTTGGGGGAATAATTAAGGAAAACTTCCCTGGCCTTGTTAGAGACCTAGACATCCAAATACAAGAAGCACAAGGAACACCTGGGAAATTCATCATAAAAAGCTCATTGCCTAGGCATATTGTCATCATGAAGAAGGAATTAATGAAATAAACTATAACCTAATAGTAGTAGTAATAGAAATTTAAAACTTAAAGTTTCTGCAAAGTGTGACCCCCTTCCCCCACTTACACTCAAGTTAAAAGAGAATATTAACAGCCTGTCTTCTCTCTGTGGTCAGTGGACCTCATCTATACTCCTCAACTCCACATTCCTCAAAGTTTATTACAGGCCCAGCGTAATAAACTGCTTACCTCCCTAGCATGCCTGCAGGGTCACAAGACCAATAAGTTTAGGTCGCAAGACATGTTTCTCTCAAGATGTAAGAAATGTTGTAATGCTGCCTTTGTTTCTTCCTTCTGTAACTTGCTTCCCATCTCACATAGTTGCTGCTTTAAGATGTTTAAAAGTAGGAAAAGCCTTTTGTTTGGGGCTCAGACTTTCTGGACAAATGTCTGGCTGAGCCAGTTATCACCTTAATTTGATAAACTCTCCTGAACCTTTTTTGGTCTCTCCAGTCTTTGATTGTCCTGTACCATTTCTGGGGGCCCATCTGGGATTGGAGATGGCAGATTTTCTGTCTCCTTTACCTGTGGACTACAGCTCCAGGATGTGGGAGACTTGGGGTCCTTGGCACTGCCAGGAGAGTTTCAGCCTGGAAGGAGAATGGCCCTCCTGCATTCTGGAGCCTTCCCCCAACAGCACAAATGGAACCAGTAGAAAGGGTTGCAGGATGGTCACGGGAGCATGTGCAGACATCTGAACCACAGTAAGGTTTGGGCCCTAAGGCAAGACCCATCCCATAAAGACAGAAGGGGAGCTTGATCACATCCCAGGGCATGATGACTAGTCCAACCCGAGGGGGTTGGGAACACTGGGAGAGGCCCACTGACTCGGACAAAATTCACACCCTAACTGACACCAGATGTGGATGGGGCCCACGAGTCAGAAAGGAAAACCGTTTCAGGGACGGAGGAGGTGTGTGAAAGTGTGTGGAAGAGAGTCTCGGGAGAGACCATCATGGGGCGTGATGTGGGGAGGCACGGATCTCTTAGTGTGGACTATGTGCTCTGAGGTGAATGTGGGAAAAACCAGATCTAGGACACTGTATACAGCCCATAGGACCAGCTCCACAGCTGCAGCTAGCTGTGACAGGAATTAAGGCATGCTCCTGGCTAAGCAGTGTTTGAACCTCCCATAATAGGACCCAGTCTGGTGGATCCAAGAGTGAAAGTGAGAGTGAAAGCACCTCGCAAGGGAGGAAATGGGAGGAAAAGTATCAAAGCCTACTCCACTGGGGTGCATGCTGAAAAATTTTAAGAAAGGTTTTAATGATATTGGGTTATGCTAACTCCACAGAAACTGAGGACCCTTTGTGAGATAGACCGGCCATCTTTTAATGTAGGGTAGCTGGCTGAAGGGACAATAGACAGGGAAATAATGGGCCAAGTGTTCCGGGTAGTCACCGGGGTTGGAGAACAGCCTGGGCACCCAGATCAGTTTCCATATATTGACTCCTGGCTAAGTATAATTCAAAACCACCCTAAGTGGCTGCAGGCCTGCTTTGAGACCTACTGTAAGACTCTAATGGCCCAGATAAAACCAGGAACCATAGAAAGAGATTGCAAGGCATCAGTAAAAGAAAAGGATTCACAGGAAAAGCAGAAAAAACCCGTCCTACAGGCCCCACCTGAAGAGTTAGAAAGTCCAGCCCTCTATGCACCAATTTATCCATCCCTGGCAAGGCTTAGACAGGAAGCTGCCCCAGCTGCCCCCAGAGGTTCAGATTCAGAAGAAAGCACCCCTCAGGCAACACCATGCAGAGAGGAGCCAGAGCCCTTGCCTGAAAAGTGAAGGGAGGAACTCCAGGGGGATGAGGTCAGCCGCCTTAGGTCAGGCCATGCCCAAGCAATGCAGATCCCCCTCCAAGAAACATGGGAACAAATTTATTTGAATGCACAGAATGAAGTCCAAGGGGGAGAATGGCTCTTAATTTATCAGCCCTTCTCTACTACTGATCTCTTAAATTGGAGACAACATACTCCCTCTTATACAGGGAAACCTCAAGCTCTTATAGATCTAATGCAGTCCATTTCCTAATTCACAATCCTACCTGGGCTGATTGCAAACAACTTCTTCAGTCATTATTTAATACAGAAGAGCACCATAGAGTTATACAAGCTGCCTTCCAGTGGCTGGAGAACAATGCACCTGCAGGTACAGGATATATCAGGCAGTATGCACAACAAGCACTCCCAATAGAGGCTGACACAGGCTGGGACCCTAACCAGGCTCAAGGGCTACAAAGCTTGCAGTGGTATCGAGAGGCACTCCTAAATGGAATAAAGGCTGGAGGGAAGAAGGCCACCAATATTGGAAAAGTCTCAGAGGTCTGCCAGAAGCCAGATGAAAGTCCCAGTGAATTTTATGAGAGGCTGTGCGAGGCTTACCAGCTTTACACACCATTTGACCCAGAGGCTGCGGGTAATCAGTGTATGGTTAATGTGGCATTTGTAAGCCAGGCACAAGGAGACATAAAGCGAAAGCTTCAGAAGTTAGAAGGTTTTGAAGGCACCTAAATAACCCAGGTTATCTATGTGGCTACTAATGTATTTGTAAATTGGGATGAGGAGGCCAAGAGAGAAGCCAGACACAGAGCTAAGGAAAAGGCAGACTTGCTGGTGGCAGCCTTAGTTGGAAAAGAAACTGGTTTTGTGAGAAGATGTGGTTGTGGTCATGGTCGTGGTAGAGGACAAGCTAGGTAAAACTAGGTAGCTAAGCCAGGACAAGAGCTGACCTAGGCCTGAGAGAGATCAATGTGTGAGATGCAAGCAGATGGGACACTGAAGAATGAATGCCCACAAAGAGAAAAGGATAAAGGCAACAATCAGGGACAAAATGGCTGGCCAGAACCCCCTACTGCTGGTCAAGGGATTCAGAAATCAGACATGGATTTAATCGGACTGGCAGGAATCAATTATTATTATGAGGACTGAGACAGACCAGGCTCCATTTCATTAGGCCCCGAGGAGCCTATGGTCTCAATGGAGGTAGGAGGCTGGAAAAAGGACTTTATGGTCCATACTGGTGTGGAGCACTCGGTAGTAAATCAAGCAATTTGGCTATTGTCTAAAAATTATGTCAATATAATTGGAGCTACAGGAATAACAGAAAAGAGGCCTTATTTCAAATCTAAAATATGTGTCCAACATGAATTTTTATATTTGCCAAATTGTCTGGTGCCCTTGTTAGGAAGAGATTTGCTCCAGAAATTGCAAGCACAAATCTCCTTTACACTAGAAGGGGACATGACTCTAAACCTAGGTCAAAGAAAAGCCATCATAATGACGCTTACTGTCCCAACAACAGAGGAATGGAGACTCTATGAGAGATGCAAAATTTGTAAAGATGCATTTTGCCAGTGGGAAAATGAGGCAATGTATAAGGAATTATTTCTCAAGCTGCCAGGGGTCTTGGTGGAAGACAATCCCCCGGGGCTAGCCATAAATCAGGCACCCGTAGTGGTGGAACTGCTGTGGGGCACTTACCCAGTGTGAATCTGTCACAATCCCATTCCAGCAGAAGCCACCCATGGGATTACTAAGCATATAGACCAGTTCCTTAAATTTGGGATAATAGAAAGATGTGCCTCTTCTTGGAACACTCCATTGCTACCGGTGTTAAAGCCCCCCGGAGATTACCAGCCGGTACAGGATTTATGGGCAGTAAATAAGGTTGCAGCTACATTATATGCCATTGTGTCCAACCCATATACAATGCTTGGGCGAATTCCTGCTGATGGTGCTTGGTTTACATGCTTATACATAAAGGATGCATTCTTCTGCATCCAACTAGCTCCTGAAAGCATCTTTGCCTTTGAGTGGGGCTTATCACAGTATACTTGGACCAGACTCCACCAAGGATTGAAAAACTCCCCAACCATTTTCAAGGAAGCACTAGCCCAGACCTGAAGGCTTTCATGCCACCAAGTGACCGCCGTGTCCTGTTGCAGTATATAGATGATTTATTGTTAGCTGCACCCACAAAAGAAGAGTGCTTTCAAGGCACAGAAAGCTTCCTTCGTGTTCTGTGGGAGGCTGGCTATAAGGTGTCTAAGGAAAAGGCACAAATCTGTGGCCAAAGAGCAAGGTATCTTGGCTTTAACATCTCTCAAGGGCAGCGTGAGCTCGGACATGAGTGAAAAGAGACTGTGTGTGGCATTCCTCAACCTGGCACTGGACAACAAGTGTGGGAGTTTTTAGGGGCAGCTGGTTTGTCTCACATTTGGATTCCAAATTACACACTCGGCAAAACCATTGTATGAGACTACCAAAGGGAGGGGGGAAAGAACCCCTCCTGTGGGGAAAAGAGCAGGACACGGCCTTCAAAGAAATCAAGAAGGCCTTGATCCAGGTCCCAGCATTGGAACTGCCAGACATGACAAGGCCTTTTTACCTGTATGTCCATGAAAGAAAAGGAATAGCTACAGGAGTCTTGGTACAAAAACTAGGGTCATGATATCAGCCCATGGCATATTTGTTCAAGTGACTAGACTTGGTGGCTATGGGATGGCATTGGCAGCCACTGCCCTGTTAGCGCAAGATGCTAACAAGCTCACATTTGGACAAAGGTTAATAATTTGCGTGCCCCACATGGTCATCACCCTGTTGGAGCAGAGGGGGTATCGCTTGCTTTCTAACCCTAGGATGTTAAGATATCAAGGACTTTTTTGTGAAAACCCCTATATAACCTTAGAGACTGTGAATAATCTAAATCCAGCCACACTGCTGCCAATACAGTGGGTGGAGCATGGAAAGCCCCCATTGTGTGGCCCAGGGTATCACTGTTGTGTGGAAACAGTGGATGAGGTTTTCTCAAGCTAAAAAGACTTAAAGGACCAGCCCTTAAAATACCAAGATGTTGAATACTTTACTGATGAAAGCAGCTTCATATCTGAAGGTGTCAGATGGGCTGGATATGCAGTGGTAACACTGAATTCAGTAGCTGAAGCCTGCCCTCTGCTGGTCGGAACTTCGGCCCAAAGAGCTGAGCTAATAGCTCTCACTAGAACGTTGCTCTTGGCCAAAGGAAAGTCAGTAAGCATCTATACTGACTCAAGGTATGTTTTTGCCATTTGCATGCCCATGGAGCCATATACAAGGAAAGAGGATTATTAACTACTGAAGGAAAGGAAATCAAAAATGAAAAGGAAATAGAGCAGCTCTTAGAAGCCATATGGGCTCCAAAAGAAGTAGCAGTCATCTATTGCAAAGGGCATCAAACAGGAGGGCGTGACGAGGCTAGAGGAAACAGAAAGGCGACAGAGAAGCCAAAAGAGCTGCAATGACAGAGGTAACTAAGAAGGAAGAGGAAACCCTTACCATGCCCTTACTGGAGCTTCCCCTAACAGAACCCACTAACTACTCCTCTAATGAAAAGGCATTTGAGCAGGACAGTGGAAGTTACCAGAAAGGAGGTTGGTGGAAGTTCTCAGATGGGAGGCTCGCCTTCCAATAGCCCCCCCGCCCGCCCAGTTCATAAAAGTTTCATCAAGGAATGCATATGGGAAAAACTGCATTAGAGACTCTTGTAGGACAGCATTTCTATGTGCTGCACCTAACTGCCATCGCTCAAGCCATTTGTGAGCAATGTTTAACTTGTGCCCAAAACAATCCATGGCAGGGGCCAACATGGCCCCCAGGGATTCAAGAAACTGGAGCTACACCGTGTGAAAACCTGCTTGTGGACTTTACCAAGCTGCCTCAAGCCAGAGGCTACTGGTACATGCTAGTGTTTGCCTTCACTTTCTCAGGGTGGGTTGAGGCATTTCCCACCAGGACAGAGAAAGCTCAGGAAGTAACCAAGATCTTACTAAAGGACATTATTTCTAGATTTTGACTGACTCTAACATTAGGATCAGACAGTGGCCCAGTGTTTGTGGTAGAGATAGTACAACAGCTAACGCAGATGTTAAAAATCAAATGGAAACTGCATACAGCTTATCACCTACAGGGTTCTGGAAGAGTTGAAAGAATGAACTGGACACTCAAACAGCTGTTAAAGAAGTTTTGTCAAGAAACTCATCTAAGGTGAGATCAGGTGCTGCCCGTGGTCCTTCTCCATGTCAGGTGCACCCCTACTAAATTAACCGGGTATTCACCCTGTGAGATAGTGTTCGGCTGACCACCCTCAATCATAATTCAGATAAAAGGGGATTTAAAATAAATTGGGGAATTAACCTTAAGAAGGCAAATGCAAGCCTTAAGTGAGACCATGTAGTAAATACAAGGGTGGGTAAGGAAAAGAATACCTGTTAGTCTCACAGATGCAGTATATCCCTTCCAACCTGGAGACTCTGTCTGGGTCAAATGATGGAACCCAACCACCTTAGGGCCTTTATCGGATGGTCCCCATATTGTGATCTTGTCTACCTCACTGCTGTTGAAGTTGCAGGTATCACACCTTGGGTTCATCATAGCCAGCTAAAACCAGCAGTGACCACAACTCAGGACCAGTGGACCAGTCAATAAAACCCAGACCACCTGACACGGCTGATCCTGTGGTGAGACCAAGCCACTACTGACAAGGGCAACTGCCCTGCTCCATCCACACTGGAGGCTGGTCGGTCCACGCACAGCTGAAGCTTAAGGAAACATCAAGCCCTGCTCTAGTCACACAACTGGAAGCTGACTAGTCTACACATGGCCGAAGCCTAAGGAAATCAATGATAGATAAGTAAATGTGGATTGAATTTACAAGCATAGTTATACTCTTACTTGTACTGATTATTTTACTGTCATGTTGTCTTTGCAAATGTTGCCAAGCTTGTTGCCCAGAAGGGTGCTTATGCATAGTATGAGTTTAATCATATTAGTAATACTAAAGCCATTTATACTTTCACCTATGGTTATAAAAGGGGACTAGGATGACTGTCATCACTGTATAGTAGAAGCCTGGTCCAGAAAAGGTGTGACTAAAACTCTGTTATACCAGACCTACTATGAGTATACAGAGACTCATACAGGAACTTGTGTCTATAACCAGACTAGTTACTCAGTCTGTGATCCTGGAAACAGGCAGCCCAAGAATGTTATGACCAGAGTTCTTGCCTTATGACTTCTGGTTTGAAGTCCAAATTGGTGAACCCCTAATGCTATCATATACAAACCCCACAGAAACTGGGGTCGGCAAACTTGTAAACAAAATGGAAGTATTCCCTTACTCAAATAAAGGGCCTATCTCCATATATTTTGATTGCTGCCAAGCTGCACATCCCAGTAAACTAAATAATATTGGGACCATCTGTAAAACTCTAGGACAAGAAAAAGTCAGCAGCAGAGCCACCAAGGCCGTAATAGAAGAGTCCAAAAAAGAGTGCCCTGATTGTTAAAATCAGTGGACCATGATGAATTTAATCAGCAACTATACACAGGAAGGGTTGCTCTGTTTGCCAGCCAAGAAGTGAAGATAGGGTGCACAACTGGAACATGCAACCCACTCAATCTGACAGTACTAAAGCCAAATATGCCTTTCTGGACTAAAATGGATAAGGGCTACTAACCTTTGATCAGGCAGGAGCTCTCCTAGGACTTGGTATTCCTCTGGTCATCACGAAGAAAACCCAAAGGACCCAAGTTTAAGTTACCCCAATGCAACAGTTTAGGTTTTATAAATCTTTCAAGGAACACTTTAATCCTGAAGTATCAAAAATTCAAATTCCTCCTATATCAGTTGAAAATGTGTTTACCCAGCTAGCCAAAAGTATTGCTAACAATTTCGGAGTTACTTCATGTTATGTATGTGGAGGTACTAATCTGGGAGGTCAATGGCCCTGGGAAGCCAAAGAATTGATGCCGCAAGACAATTTTACCTTGCCCGAATTTGCTACAAAATTCAGTGCAAATCCAAGTGTTTAGCTATTAAGGAACCCCATCATCGGAAAATACTGTATCGCCTGACAAGGCCTTTCAGAACCAGGTAGGGGAAACAACTTGCCTAGGTCAACAATATTTTGAAGAATCCAAGAACATAACACAATGAAGAAGCTTTATAGACAATTCCTCTGTGTCAGACTGTAATCCTTTTTTGCTGTTCCCAACATTAAATCAATCATAGTACCAATTAGATGCTCCAACTGTTTGGAGAGCACCTGCAGGGTTATATTGGATCTGTGGAACAAAGGCTTATCAATTACTACCTGATAAATGGACAGGGGCATGTGTATTAGGAAAAATAAGGCCATCCTTTTTCCTACTCCCACTGCAGCAAGGGGAAGATCTAAGCTATCCGGGCTATGATGAAGGTGGAAAAAGAATCAGAAGAAATGTGTTTACAAAAATAAGTACTGTGGAAAAAATAAATACTAACATTAAAAAGGACATTGAAATAGGGAGCTGGAAAGATAATGAATGGCCCCCTGAAAGAATTATCAAATACTATGGACTGGCCAGCTGGGCACAAGATGGGTCATGAGGATGCTGTACTCTTATTTATATGTTAAACCACATCATAAGGTTGCAAGCAGTTCTGGAGATTATAGTCAGTGAAACAGCCCGAGCCTTAGACTTGCTAGCCATACAGGCAACCCAGAGGAGAGATGTTATTTATCAGAACAGGTTAGCACTGGATTATCTTTTAGCTTCAGAAGGAAGAGTTTGTGGAAAGCTTAATTCAATGAATTGCTGCTTACAAATTGATGACAATGGAAAAGCTGTCATGGAAATCACTGCCAGGAAGCAGAAGTTAGCTCATGTTCCAGTCCAGATGTGGTCTGGCTGGAACCCAAGTTCACTCTTTGGAGGATGGTTTTCATGGTTTGGAGGCTTTAAAACTTTAATAATAGGCTTTGTGGCCATAATAGGTGTATGCCTAATGGTTCCCTGTCTCCTGACACTTCTCATCAGAAGCATCTAATCCACCATAGAAGCAATAGTAGACAGACATATCACCACCCGAATAATGGTTCTGCAAAAGTACCAACTGGTATCCCAAGATGAGTATGTACCCACTCAAGAAGAAATAGCTAACTGTAGTGCTCTTTACTAATCTACATTTGTGTCGAGCACAAAGGGGGGAATAAAGAAGGAATTAATGAAATCAACTATAACCTACTAGTAGTAGTAACAGAAATTTTAAAATCCTCATAAAGTTGCTGCAAAGTGTGACTCCCCCCACCCCCCCTCCCGACTTACACTCAAGTTAAAAGAGAATATTAACAGCCTATCTTCTCTCTGCGGTCAGTAGACCTTATCTATACTCCCCAACTCCACATTCCTCAAAGTTTATTACAGGCCCAGCGAGTTTCTGCTTACCTCCCTAGCGTGCCTGCAGGGTCACAAGACTGAAAAGTTTTGGTTGCAAGACATATTTCTCTCAAGATGTAAAGAAATGTTGTAATGCTGCCTTTGTTTCTTGCTTCTGTAACTCGCTTCCTGTCTCACGTAGTTCCCACCTTAAGATGTTTAAAAGTAGGAAAAGCCCTTTGTTTGGGGCTCAGACTTTCTGGACGTATGTCCGGCTGAGCCAGTTATCACTTCAATTTAATAAATTCTCCCGAACCTTTTTCAGTCTCTCCAGTCTTTGATTGTCCCGCAACAATCAGGTTATCCAAAGTTAAGACAAAGGAAAGAATCTTAAGAGCTGTGAGACAAAAGCACCAGGTGACCTATAAAGGAAAACCTATCAGATTAACAGCAGATTTCTCAGCAGAAACTCTACAACCTAGAGTAGATTGAGGCCCTATCTTCAGTTTCCTCAAACAAAATGATTATCAGCCAATAATTTTTGTATCCAGCAAAACTAAGTATCATGTATGAAGAAACAATACAGTATTTTTCAGACAAACAAATGAGGAGACAATTCATCACTACCAAGCCACCACTACAAGAACTGCTAAAATGAGCTCTATGTCTTGAAACAAATCCTGGAAACACATCAAAATAGAAATTCTTTAAAGCATAAATCACACATGACGTATAAAATGAGAATACAAGTGAAACAGAAAAAAAATAGGTACACAGGCAACAAATAGCAGGATGAATGCAAAGGTACCTCACATCTCAATACTAACATTGAATGTAAATGGCCTAAATGTTCCACTTAAAAGATGCAGAACTGCAGAAGGGATAGAACTCACCAAACAACTACCTGCTGCCTTCAGGAGACTCACCTAACACAAAAAGACTCACATAAACTTAAAGGTGTAGGAAAAGGAATTTCATGCAAATAGACGCCAAAAGCCAGCAGAGTAGCTATTCTTATAACAGAGAAAACAAACTTCAAAGAAACAGCAGTTAAAAGACACAAAGAGGGACATTATATAAAGGGCCTTGTCCAACAGGAAAATGTCACAATCCTTAACATACATGCACCGAACACTGGAGCTCCCAAATTTATAAAACAATTACTAATAGGTCTAAGAAAAGAGATAGACAGCAACACAATAATTGTGGGGGACTTAAATACTCCACTGACAGCCCTAGACAGGTCATCAAGACAGAAAGTCAACAAAGAAACAATGGATTTAAATTATACCTTAGAACAAATGGACTTAATAGATATATACAGAACATTTTATTCAACAAGCGCAGAATACACATTCTATTCAACAGCGCATGGAACTTTCTCCAAGGTAGACCATATGATAGGTCATAAAATGAGCCTCAACAAATTTAAGAAAATTGAAATTATATGAAGCACTCTCTCAGATCACAGTGGAATAAAACTGGAAATGAACTCTGAAAGGAACTTTTGAAACTATGCAAATACATGGAAATTAAATAACCTGCTTCTGAATGAACACTGGGTCAAAAACGAAGACAAGATGGAAATTTAAAAATTCTTCAAACTGAACGACAATGACGACACAACCTACCAAAACCTCTGCAATACAGCAAAGGCAGTGCTAAGAGGAAAGTTCATAGCCCTAAACACCTACATCAAAAAGGCTGAAAGAGCACAAACTGACATTCTAAGGTCACACCTCAAGGAACTAAAGAAACAAGAACAAACCAAATCCAAAGCCAGCAGAAGAAAGGATGTAACAAAGATCAGGGCAGAACTAAATGAAATTGAAACAACAACAACAAAAATACAAAAGATAAATGAAACAAAAAGCTGGTTCTTTGAAAAGATAAATACAATTAATAGACCATTAGCAAGATTAACCAAGAAAAGTAGAGAGAAACTTCAAATAACCTCATTAAGAAAAGAAATGGGAGATACTACAACAGACACCACTGAAATACAAAAGATCATTCAAGGCTACTATGAACACCTTTATGCACATAAACTAGAAAACCTAGAAGAGATGAATAAATTCCTGGAAAAATACAATGCTCCTAGCTTAAATCAGGAAGAATTACATACCCTGAACAGACCAATAAGAAACAGTGAGATTGAGGTGGTAATTAAAAAATTACCAACAAAAAAATTCCAGGACAAGATGGATTCAGAGCAGAATCCTACCAGATATTCAAAGAAGCATTGGTAACAATCCTTTTAACATTATTCCACAAGATAGAGAAAGAGGGAACCCTCCCTAATTCATTCCATGAAGCCAGCATCATCTTAATCCCAAAACCAGGAAAGGACATAACCAAAAAAGAAAACTACAGACCAATATCCCTGACGAATACAGATACTAAAATCCTTAACAAAATACTAGCCAACTGAATCCAACATCATATCAAAAAGATAATCCACCATGATCAAGTGGGTTTCATACCAGGGATGCAGGGGTGGTTTAACATACACAAGTCAATAAATGTGATACACCATATACATGGAATTAAAAAGAAACATCACATGATCATCTCAATAGATGCAGAGAAAGTATTTGGCAAAATTCAGTATTGCTTTATGATTAAAACTATCAGCAAAATCAGCATACAAGGGACACACCTTAGTGTAATAAAAGCCATTTATGACAAACCCACAGTCAACATAATACTGGATGGGGAAAAGTTGAAAACATTCTCTCTGAGAACTGGAACAAGACAAGGATACCCACTCTCACCTCTCCTCTTCAACATAGTACTGAAAGTTTTAGGCAGAGCAGTCAGACAAGAGAAGGAAATAAAGGGCATCCAAATAGGTAAAGAGGAAGTCAAACTGTCACTGTTTGCTGACAATATGATTGTTTACCTCGAAAACCCTAAAGACTCCTCCAGAAAGCTCCTAGAACTGATGAAGAATTCAGCAAAGTTTCTGGATACAAGATTAGTTTACACAAATCAGTAGCTCTGTTGTACACCAACAGCGACCAAGCAAAGAATCAAATCAAGAAGTCTACCCCTTTTACAACAGCTGCAGAAAGAAAAAAAAAACTTAGGAATATACCTAACCAAGGAGGTGAAAAACCTCCTCAAGGAAAACTACAAAACACTACTGAAAGAAATCGTAGACAACACAAACAAATGGAAATGCATCCTAAGCTCATGGATGGGTAGAGTAGAATCAATATTTGGAAAATGACCATACTGCTAAAGGCAATCTACAAATTCAATGCAATCCCCATCAAAATACCACCATCACTTAACATAATTTGAAAAAACAATTCTAAAATTCATATGGAACCAAAAAAGAGCCCACATAGCCAAAGCAAGACTGAGGAAAAATAACAACTCTGGAAGCATCATGCTACCTGATTTCAAACTATACTATAAGGCCATACTCACTGAAACAGCATGGTACTAGTATCAACATAGGCACATAGACCAATGGAACAGAATAGACAACCCAGAAATAAACTCAAATACTTACAGCCAACTGATCTTCAACAAAGCAAACAAAAACATAAAGCAGGGAAAGGACACCCTTTTTAACAAATGGTGCTGAGATAATTGGCTAGCCACATATAGGAGAATGAAACTGGATCCTCATCTCCCACATTATACAAAAAATCAGCTCAAGATGGATTAAGGACTTAAATCTAAGACCTGAAACTATAAAAATTCTAGAAGATAACATTGGAAAAACCCTTCTAGACATTGGCTTAGGCAAGAATTTCATGACCAAGTACCCAAAAGCAAATGCAATAAAAACAAAGATAAATAATTGGGACTTAATTAAACTAAAGAGCTTTTGCAAGAGGAACAGTCAGCAGAGTAAACAGACAACCCACAGAGTGGGAGAAAATCTTCACAATGTATATATCTGACAAAGGACTAATATCCAGAATCTACAATGAACTCAAACATATCAGTAAGAAAAAAAAAGCAATCCCATCAAAAGTGGGTTAAGGACATAAATAGACAATTCTCAAAATAAGATATATAAATGGCCAACAAACATGAAAAAATGCTCAACATCACTAATGATCAGGGTAATGCAAATTAAAACCACACTGTGTTATCACCTTACTCCTGCAAGTATGGTCATAATAAAAAAATTCAAAAAACAGTGGATGTTGGAGTGATGTGATGATCAGGGAACACTTCTACACACTGCTGGTGGGAATGTAAACTAGTACAGCCACTGTGGAAAACAGTGTGGAGATTCTTTAAAGAACGAAAAGTAGAACTACCATTTGATCCGGCAATCCCACTACTGGGTATCTGCCCAGAGGAAAAGAAGTCATTATACAAAAGATATACTTGCACACGCGTGTTTACTGCAGCACAATTGGATGGAATACTACTCAGCCATAAAAAGGAATGAATTATGGCATTTGCAGCGACCTGGATGAGATTGGAGACTATTATTTTAAGTGAAGTAACTCAGGAATGGAAAACCAAACATATGTTCTCACTGATAAGTGGGAGCTAAACTGTGAGGACACAAAGGCATAGGAATGATACAGTGGACTTTGGGGACCTGGCGAGAAGGGAAGGAGGTGGGCAAGGAATACACGACTACAAGTTGGATTCAGTGAATACTTCTCGGGTTGTAGGTCCACCAAAATCTCACAAATCACCACTAAAGAACTTACTCATCTCATCAAATATCACTTGTACCCCAATAATCTATGAAAAAAAATGTTTAAATTAGCATACAAATAAAAACGTATGCACATTTAACAATTTAAATAGGTTTTGCCTATTTTTCAGCCCTGTAGAAGTATATGAAAGAGCCCTATCCTCTGAAAGTTTAGAAGTAAAAAAGTGTGTGTGTGTAAAAAAAAAAAGAAAGAAAGAAAAAGAGTATTCTAAAATTCATACAGAATCAAAAAAGAAGCCAAATAGCCAAATCAATTCTAAGCAAAAAAATGAAGCCAGAGGCATCACACTACCTGACTTCAAACTGTATTGTGAGGCTATAGTAAACAAAATAGCATGACACTAGTACAAAAACAGACACAAAGACCAATGGAAAAGAATAGAAAACTCATGAATAAAGCTTCACACCTACAACCAACTGATTTTTAACAAGACCAACAAAAATGAGCAATGGAGAAAGATGTCCATATTCAATAAATGGTGCTGGGATAACTGGCTAGCCATGTGCAGAAGAATGGAACTGGACCCTTACCTTTCACTGTATACAACAATTAAGTCAAAATGGATTAAAGATTTAAATATAAGACCTGAAACTACAAGAATCCTAGAAGAAAACCGTAAATATCCTTCTGGACATCAACCTTGGCAAAGAATTTATGGCCAAGTCCCCAAAAGCAATTGCAACAAAACCAAAAACTGATAAGTGAGGCCTAATTATACTAAAGAGCTTCTGCATGACAAACAAAATGATAAACAAAGTAAATAGCCTACAGAATGGGAGAAAATATTTACAAACTATACATCTGACAATGGTCTAATATCCAGAATCTATCAATAACTTAAAGAAATCAACAAGCAATAATCAAATAACACCATTAAAATGTGGGCAAAAGACATAAACAGACACTTCTCAAAAGAAGACATAAATGGCCAACAAACATCTGAAAAAATGCTCATTGTCACTAATCATCAGAGAAACGCAAATCCAAACCACAACGAGATACCAGCTCACACCATTCAGAATGCCAATTATAAAAAATCGAAAACAACACATGCTGGCAAGACTGCAGAGAAAAGGGAATGCTTATAAACTGTTGGTGGGAATGGTTCAACCACCCCACCCCAAAGAAGTTTGGAGATTTCTCAGAGAACTTAGAGCTACCATTCAACCCAGCAATCCCATTACTGGCCATATATCCAAAGGAATATAGTCATTATACCAAAAAGACACATTGAATCATATGTTCATTGTCACAATAGCAAAGACATTAAATCAATATGAGTGCCCATTAATGGTGGATTGGATAAATAAAATGCTGTACATATAGACCATGGAATATTACATGGCCATAAAAAAGAATGAAATCATGTCCTTTGCAGCAGCATGGATATGGCTGGAGGCCATAAGCCTAAATGAATTAATGCTAGAACCCAAAGCCAAATACTCATGTTCTCACTTATAAGTGGGAGGTAAGTATTGAGCAACCATGGACATAAATATGAGAACAACAGGCGCTATGGACTACTAGAGGGAGGAGGATGAGAGGAGTACATGGGTGGAAAAACTACCCATTGGGTACTATGCTCACTAGCTGGCTCCCCTACACCCATGTAACAATCCTAATTCTCACATTTACCCCCTCTTTATTGTAACTAAAAGCTGAAATTTTTTAAAAAATGACTGCATGTCATCCCAACTACTCCCACTATCCAATCCTACTTCCTTCCTTTCCTTTATCTTTCATAGATGGTGTTTCCAAAGCATTCTCTAACCACTTGCCCATTAATCTCTATGTCAGTGTCTCCTTTCCATAGAACTCAATCTGCAACAGAATGGTCACCATGATACACTCATAACTAAGAAAAGCAAAATGAATAAAAGAATACCGAATGTGATATTATTTAATAATGGAGGAACATATGTGCTTGCATGTGTTTTTGATATTTAACAACAAATAAGTAAACCATAAAATATGGTTACTTATAAGAGGAGGAGGGAAATGGGTGGAGGTCACAATAGAAACTAGATTTCTTAAAACAGATCTTTAGATATGGATTTGCATTTAAAACCATGTAAAAATATTGTATATAGTATAATTATAGCATAGTTATAGAATGAAATAAAATTTAAAATGTAAAAATCAGAAGTAAAATAAATGATCCTGTGTCATTCATTGGTGGTACAAAAACGCATAAAATGTCTATTCCAATGTTTTAAAAATATAGTAATTTGGGCACACATCTCTAGTGGGTTCTTAAGGACAGAAAGAACCACCCAAAAATGTTAAGGGCAGCCGGAGAGAAAGGTCGGGTTACCCACAAAGGGAAGCCCATCAGACTAACAGCTGATCTCTCCACAGAAACTCTACAAGCCAGAAGAGAGTGGGGGCCAATACTCAACATTCTTAAAGAAAAGAATTTTCAACCTAGAATTTCATATCCAGACAAACTAAGCTTCATAAGTGAAGGAGAAATAAAATACTTTACAAACAAGCAAATGCTGAGAGATTTTGTCACCACCAGTCCTGCCCTAAAAGAGCTCCTGAAGGAAGCACTAAACATGGAAAGGAACAACCGGTACCAGCCACTGCAGAAACATGCCAAATTGTAAAGACCATAAAGGCTAGGAAGAAACTGCATCAACTAACGAGCAAAATAAGCAGCTAACATCATAATGACAGGATCAAATTCACACATAACAATACTAACCTTAAATGTAAATGGGATAAATGCTCCAATTAAAAGGCAAATTGGATAAAGAGTCAAAACCCATCAGTGTGCTGTATTCAGGAAACCCATCTCACGTGCAGAGACACACATAGACTCAAAATAAAGGGATGGAGGAAGATCTACCAAGCAAATGGAAAACAAAAAAAGGCAGGGGTTGCAATCCTAGTCTTGGATAAAACAGACTTTAAACCAACAAACATCAAAAGAGACAAAGAAGGCCATTACATAATGGTAAAGGGATCAATTCAACAAGAAGAACTAACTATCCTAAATATATATGCACCCAATACAGGAGCACCCAGATTCATAAAGCAAGTACTTAGTTACCTACAAAGAGACTTAGACTCCCACACAATAATAATGGGAGACTTTAACACCCCACTGTCAACATTAGACAGATAAATGAGACAGAAAGTTAACAACAATACCCAGGAATTGAACTCAGCTCTGCACCAAGCGGACCTAATAGACATCTACAGAACTCTCCACCCCAAATCAACAGAATATACATTTTTTTTCAGCACCACACCACACCTATTCCAAAATTGACCACATAGTTGGAAGTAAAGCTCTCCTCAGCAAATGTAAAAGAACAGAAATTATAACAAACTGTCTCTCAGACCACAGTGCAATCAAACTAGAACTCAGGATTAAGAAACTCACTCAAAACTGCTCAACTACATGGAAACTGAACAACCTGCTCCTGAATGACTACTGGATACATAATGAAATGAAGGCAGAAATAAAGATGTTCTTTGAAACCAACGAGAACAAAGACACAACATACCAGAATCTCTGGGACACATTCAAAGCAGTGTGTAGAGGGAAATTTATACCACTAAATGCCCACAAGAGAAAGCAAGAAAGATCTAAAATGGACACCCTACCATCACAATTAAAAGAACTGGAGAAGCAAGAGCAAACACATTCAAAAGCTAGCAGAAGGCAAGAAGTAACTAAGATCGAGCAGAACTGAAGGAAATAGAGACATAAAAAACCCTTCAAAAAATCAGTGAATCCAGCAGCTGGTTTTTTGAAAAGATCAACAAAATTGATAGACTGCTAGCCAGACTAATAAAGAAGAAAAGAGAGAAGAATCAAATAGACGCAATAAAAAATGATAAAGGGGATATCACCACTGATCCCACAGAAATACAAACTACATCAGAGAATACTATAAACACCTCTACTCAAATAAACTAGAAAATCTAGAAGAAATGGATAAATTCCTGGACACATACACACTCCCAAGACTAAACCAGGAAGAAGTTGAATCTCTGAATAGACCAATAACAGGCTCTGAAATTGAGGCAATAATTAATAGCTTACCAACCAAAAAAAAGTCCAGGACAAGATGGATTCACAGCCGAATTCTACCAGAGGTATAAGGAGGAGCTGGTAGCATTCCTTCTGAAACTATTCCAATCAATAGAAAAAGAGGGAATCCTCCCTAACTCATTTCATGAGGCCAGCATCATCCTGATACCAAAGCCTGGCAGAGACACAACCAAAAAAGAGGATTTTAGACCAATATCCTTGATGAACATTGATGCAAAAATCCTCAATAAAATACTGGCAAACCGAATCCAGCAGCACATCAAAAAGCTTATCCACCATGATCAAGTGGGCTTCATCCCTGGGATGCAAGGCTGGTTCAACATACGAAAATCAATAAACGTAATCCAGCATATAAACAGAACCAAAGACAAAAACCACATGATTATCTCAATAGATGCAGAAAAGGCCTTTGACAAAATTCAACAACTCTTCATGCTAAAAACTCTCAATATTGATGGGATGTATCTCAAAATAATAAGAGCTATCTATGACAAACCCACAGCCAATATCATACTGAATGGACAAAAACTGGAAACATTCTTTTTGAAAACTGGCACAAGACGGGGATGCCCTCTCTCACCACTCCTATTCAACATAGTGTTGGAAGTTCTGGCCAGGGCAATCAGGCAGGAGAAGGAAACAAAGGGCATTCAATTAGGAAAAGAGGAAGTCAAATTGTCCCTATTTGCAGATGACATGATTTTATATCTAGAAAACCCCATGGTCTCAGCCCAAAATCTCTTTAAGCTGATAAGCAACTTCAGCAAAATCTCAGCATACAAAATCAATGTGCAAAAATCACAAGCACTCCTATACACCAATAACAGACAAACAGAGAGCCAAATCATGAGTGAACTCCCATTCATAATTGCTTCAAAGAGAATAAAATACCTAGGAATCCAACTTACAAGGTATGTGAAGGACCTCTTCAAGGAGAACTACAAACCGCTGCTCAATGAAATCAAAGAGGATACAAACAAATGGAAGAACATTCCATGCTCATGGGTAGGAAGACTCAATATCGTGAAAATGGCCATACTGCCCAAAGTAATTTATAGATTCAATGCCATCCCCATCAAGCTACCAATGACTTTCTTCACAGAATTGGAAAAAAACTACTTTAAAGTTCATATGGAACCAAAAAAGAGCCCACATTGCCAAGTCAATGCTAAGCCAAAAGAACAAAGCCAGAGGCATCATGCTACCTGACTTCAAACTATACTATGAGGCTACAGTAACCAAAACAGCATGGTACTGGTACCAAAACAGAGATGTAGACCAATGGAACAGAACAGAGCCCTCAGAAATAATGCTGCATATCTACAACTATCTGATCTTTGACAAACCTCACAAAAACAAGCAATGGGAAAAGGATTCCCTATTTAATAAATGGTGCTGGGAAAACTGGCTAGCCATATGTAGAAAGCTGAAACTGGATCCCTTCCTTACACCTTATACAAAAATTAATTCAAGATGGATTAAAGACTTAAAGGTTAGACCTAAAACCATAAAAACCCTAGAAGAAAACCTAGGCAATATCATTCAGGACATAGGCATGGGCAAGGACTTCATGTCTAAAACACCAAAAGCAATGGCAACAAAAGCCAAAAGTGACAAATGGGATCTAATTAAACTAAAGAGCTTCTGCACAGCAACAGAAACTACCATCAGAGTGAACAGGCAACCTACAGAATGGGAGAAAATTTTCGCAACCTACTTCTCTGACAAAGGGCTAATATCCAGAATCTACAACAAACTCAAACAAATTTACAAGAAAAAAATAAAAAACCCTATCAAAAAGTGGGCGAAGGATATGAACAGACACTTCTCAAAAGAAGACATTTATGCAGCCAAAAAACACATGAAAAAATGCTCATCATCACTGGCCATCAGAGAAATGCAAATCAAAACCATGATGAGATACCATCTCACACCGGTTAGAATGGTGATCATTAAAAAGTCAGGAAACAACAGGTGCTGGAGAGGATGTGGAGAAATAGGAACACTTGTACACTGTTGGTGGGACTGTAAACTAGTTCAACCATTGTGGAAGTCAGTGTGGTGGTTCCTCAGGGATCTAGAACTAGAAACACCATTTGACCCAGCCATCCCATTACTGGGTATCTACCCAAAGGATTATAAATCATGCTGCTATAAAGACACATGCATACGTATGTTTATTGTGGCACTATTCACAATAGCAAAGACTTGGAACCAACCCAAATATCCAACAATGATAGACTGGATTAAGAAAATGTGTCACATACACACCATGGAATACTATGCAGCCATAAAAAATGATGAGTTCATGTCCTTTGTAGGGACATGGATGAAGCTGGAAACCATCATTCTCAGCAAACTATCACAAGGACAAAAAACCAAACACCACATGTTCTCACTCTTAAGTGGGAATTGAACAATGAGAACACATGGGTACAGGAAGGGGAACATCACACACCAGGGATTGTTGTGGGGTGGGGGGAGTGGGGAGGGATAGCATTAGGAGATATACCTAATGCTAAATGACTAGTTAATGGGTGCAGTACACCAACATGGCACATGTATACATATGTAACAAACCTGCACGTTGGGCGCATGTACCCTAAAACTTAAAGTATAATAATAATAAAATTAAACAAAACAAAACAAAAAAACATTTTCAGTCAATAGATGTGGGTAGTAATGATGCAGTTACTCTAGTGGAGACTTCCGTTGATTGTAAGAAACATGAAATATGTAATTATAATATTGTCATTGGCATATTTGGAAGGAAATTAATGAAAAAACCTACACTTCTAAATTTTGATTATATGTATCACTATAAGCTCTTGATGTAGTTTATTATAAAACCAACAAAAACTTTTCTAGCTTTGACTACTAAAAATGCTTAAAATAATGACAATGCAGTAGCAAGAAGCAGATCTAGATTCCATTTATAATCTTTAAAAACTACTTCACATCACATTCTTGGAGAAATATCTAATCATTCATGTGGGGACAAAAAAGAAACTGGAAACTCTACAGTATGAAGGCACTAGTTTCTTCAAAAAAATTTTTGCTCAAATAATAAAACAGAGGAAGAACCTATAGATCAAATGATATTTCAGAAGTATATTAATTAATTACAATATATCTACCTGATTTGGTTTAATTTATTTGGTTTGATTTAAACAAACTCTTTTAAAAACAAGGTTATGACAGCCAAAATTGTGAAACTAACTAGATATATGATATTAAGAAATTATTATTAATCCTTAGGCTAATGCAATTGAGGTTATACATTTTGAGGACTTCTTAGCTTATAGAAATGTGTATAGAATATTTACAGATAAAATGTTCTGATCTTTGAGGTATGTTTCCAAAAATCTGAAGATGGAGGGTGTAGTATACATATGATGTATTAGATGAAATAAATTTGGCTGCATTTTTATATTTGTTGAAGCTGGCAGATGGCTATAGTGGGTTTGTCATACTACTCTATCTACTTATGCATATGTTTGAAGATACGCAAAGAAAAAAAAACTCTTACTATAGGCACTCCAACATGATTTCCACTGGTGTTTACTTTGCTTCTTTCTTGGCATCATGACATCCCAAGCAGTTCTCAAGCTCCAGCACATTGGTTTAAAATGCCCTAGTTTTTCAAAATCTCCATTTCTCCTTATATTTTAAATGTGTTTATTTGTCTTTTCCTTATCTACCCCTTTCCTAATACCTGGAAACTCACTCAACTGTGTCGTGCTATCTTCTTTATAGCACTTCTCCTTCACTCTCACCTTGTAAACTTTCGGCCTCAACACAAAAAAATTCACCTTATTTCTGGGTAGAATTTTACTCTCAACCTCTACTCACTGATGAAGATACACATTTTTGTATTAAAGATAAAGATACACATTTTTGTATTAAAGATAAATCTTTTAACATTTTGTTAAACGAGATCTTGTGTTTATATTTTAATATTTAAAATTTTTTCTTCCCACATCTATAACCACTAGAGTAGCCCAACAAGACAATTCTGGCTTGCTAAAAGAACTGATTGAGAAATTATTTTAATACTAATAGCAATAATTTTAAACATACCAACTAATAACTATTGAGCACTATTATGCACTTCTCATTTGTTTCTCATGATAAATTTATTATGTAGATTATTGATTCTGTTTACTATTTTCTATTTATTGTTTACTGTTTATACTACTGGTATTCTGAGAAGACCATGCTTTTCTCTAGCATCATATTTACATATGTAAGGTCTTCAAGCAAAGAGATAATGTTGGATTTTTTTTCCATATCATTCCTGTTTGGAAGAAAGCATTATGCAAGCTGAGCTCAGTTCTTTTCTTTCTCCCATGGAAGCCACTCCCATGGAAGTAACTTTCAGATATGTGTTGAGGAACTCTCTCTGAAATTGCCAAACACTGTGCCTGGCTGAGTTGAATGTTTCATTCTGTGGTAAAGTATTCGGAAGCCCACTAGTTGAAGATCTAAATCCACAACTCTAACTGAGCAATTATCAATAACAAAACTGACAAAAGTATTTTCATTTCTCTGATGCCTTGCAAATGTTCTTCAGCTGGTTCTAAACTTGTTTGGGAAAGGACGGATCTTTCAAATCTTTGCAGTTCCTTTATATTTTAGAAAATGAGGTATTTTTTCAAAGTCACAAACCTAAGACATGACATGGCAGCACTAGACTCAATTTCAGGCTATTGACAGCAGACATCATGCTCTCCCTTACTTCCCTATACTGAGAATCTTTACAGTCTTATTTACCATCCTTTTACCAATAATGACATTTGGCATTATTGAGTTGTTTGAATATTACAAGTGATGCTTATTGAAGGTTCCTTACATCCTGTAGTTTTACCCAGTGCTTTTATTAGGACTTTGAATATTATTATGGATCATCACATAACCATAATGTTTCAACGTGGAGACTGAATACAGTATTCCATGTCTTGTTTGCTTTTGATCTTAAAATTATATAAAAATGACATTAAAATTAGAACAAAATCTTTTCATCAACATCAGCAAATTATTGGAATATACGCTCAGTTTTGGTATAAGAATAACTGCATTGTAGTATTACAAGAAAACTTTGAAAAGCAATGTATAATATTACTATCAACTAAATAATAAAATGTGTAAGCAATGTCATTATCTTGCTATCCGTATTGTTTAATTACATATAAATTAATTTATATGTAATACAAATGACATATAATATGTATTTTAGAGATATAAGCTCTGAGTAAACTCTTATTTATTTAAGAGGTGCTAATTGTATCAACTCCTATATGATTTTATCATGAACTTATTATTTATTGAAAGTAGCACCTTATGAAAACTAAACCATAAATTAAGATGCAAAAAATAAAATAATACTTGTTTTCAGCCTGAACAATTAGGAAAATGCCAGCTAAAATAAAAATTTAGTCTGTGATATTGTTCAATACTAGGTAAGAGTTAATGATTCTATAAAATAAATAGAATCTTCTATTTGATACAAAGTGCATATTTTTATTTAAGTTGAAAATTCTCCTTTGATTATTAAAAATAAAGGAATGTTATTTAAAGTGTTTTTAGTTTTGTTTTTCAATTTAAAAATCTCAAAGCAAAGAAACTCCTCAAGAAAACTTAAACTGTCTGCAATTTGTTAATGCCCTATTGATAGTTGAATGATTTCTAAAATAATTATTCAATAACAATATTTATTGCTAGAGCATAATATAAGAAAAGGTAGATCTTGTCTTTGCCTTGAACTACAAGAGTAAAATATGTAGTTTTTTTCCCGTTTTGAAATATCTACTTGAAGAAGTCAGCAATAAAAATAAATGGAATTTTAAGTCAAATGCTTCAGATTTTTATTTCTATTTATTTATTTTTTTGCTAATGATAGTTCACTAAATAGAAAATGTGTTTAGAAATAAAGGAGATTCTAGTGTGTTGACACTAGTAACCAACTTGTCTTCCAGGATTCTTGTAACTCTAGATTCTGTATTAGGTGTGTCAGAAAATAAGTCATTTTGGCAATTTTACAGAAGTGTCTCTACTCAGAGTCTAATAATGATAACATTTTTTGTCATACATAATATTCTTCAGATCATCGTATTACTTCAGATCCACATCTATAATGTTGGAATATAGATTGAACAATTTTAGAAAAATAAATATGTTTTAGAATATTTTAGATAAATCTGAAAAAAAGGTAAAGACTTTAAGAATGATAGTAACTATGACAAGCCCTTGCTTAAAAAAAGTTTATTTTACCTAATTCCGAATGTTAAAATTAATGAATTGATTCACAAACATTTCTCTATATTCCAGAGTTTACAGTAATTCCTTGTTAACCCACTATCCAGTTATTGCAAATAATTTTGATAGCATTTTCCCAGACTTTGAAAACATAAGGAGAGAGCCAGTTGTATGGATCTGGGCATAAGAGGCTGATCTCAACCCCACTCTCCTCTGGCATGTCACACATCTGCCTACACTATCCCTCTCAAGTCTCTCGTTATCTGTTTTGGAAGTGACAAGGAAATAGTTGAAAGGAGAAATAAGTCTCTAAGAAGGATTCAGCGTAAAGCTCTGGAATTATTCTGGGAAGATACTTACATCCTCAAATGCCACATTTGTCTGTATACAAGTTAATTCGGTGTGTTGAAACCCAGTGATATGATTTGGCTCTGTGTCCCCATGCAAGTCTCATCTTGAATTGTAATCCAAATTGTAATTCCCAACGTGTTGTGGGAGGGACCTCGTGGGAGGTGATTAGTTCATGGGGCCCTGTCCCCCATGCTGTTCTTGTAATGGTGAATGAGTTCTCACGGTATCTGATGGTTTTATAAGGGGCTTTTCCCAACTTCACTTGGCACTTGTCTCCTGCTGCCATGTGTAGAAGGATGTGTTTGCTTCGCCTTCCAACATGATTGTAAGTTTCCTGAGGCCTACCCAGCCATGTGAAACTATGAGTCAATGAAACCTCTTTTTTTTTTTTTTAATAAATTACCCAGCCTCAGGTATTTCTTCATAGTAGCGTGAGAATGGATTAATACATCCAGGAAATTCAGTTTTCCACACAATAATAAATTGAGTGAAGATTGAGATACTGGTATAACAATCTACTCGAATTTTAAGTTAACTAAGAAGAAGAATACTGAACTTAGTATTCTGTGATTCTTTTAGTCTTATTTCAGTCTATGCAAGTTTTATTTTTGTCTATTTAAATGTAGCAAACATGGAAAGAATTATTCTGACAGAGGTCGGCTAAACCAAGTAGTATTCAGAGATTCTAGAATTTCTGTCTCCCTTGAATTACATAGTTACATTATGCCTCTATCTATCTATGCATCCATCTATCTATCTATCAATCATCTATCTACTTGTATCATATTTGTATTTATATCTATCTACAGATACAACATATAGTTGTAAATATGACTATCCGCCTATAGATAGATAGCTTCCATTTATCATCTATCACAATCATTTAAGAAGAGACCCGAGAGCAGAATAATTTCTAGTAAATTGAAAGTATTTATATACAAAGACAAAAAATTAATATTTGCTTCAGTGGACTACAAGGTCATTTAAAACAAATAGGAAGAAAGTCTATAAATAATTCATCAGGTGATTGAGGATTTCTAGGGGAACAAAAGCCCTGATATTTTCCTTCTGAAAAGCAGTCATTAAAGGTGTTATTTTTATTACCACACTCTATTAAAATGGGCATATATATGACATATGGTGATACAAATAATACCATGTATGTATAATGCCATGCTTAGTTGTAATTATGTGTATACATAGTTATCAAATCTTTTGATTATTTACTATATCAGGGAACGAAATAATACATTCCTGTGAGCTAAAATGTAGGAGCCCCATTTTCAAGATATTCCTTAATATGAATTTTTAAACTTCAGTCATTCACAAACTGCCTTGTAATTGTTGCTGTAGCTGAATACCTCCTATATTAATCTTTACTTCACATGTTTCTTTAAAACAACCCAGGACCAACACCACTACCCATTCTAATCTTTCAATAAGCAAAAATACTTATGAAATAATGAGTTAATGTGCATGTTCTTTCAATGCACACTAAAATAAATACAGAATTAAAAAAATAAAATAAAAATCTGTCCATGTGCTGCCTAACATTACCCCAAACAAACCTCTGAACTCTATTATTTTGGTTGGTCTTTATCTGTAAAATGAGAATAACAATATAGTACCTAGTTACCATTTACTGTGGGACTCTAGTAAGTTAATATACGCAAAATATTTTAGAACTATACCAGGCCCTTAAGTGTTCAATATACGTTCACTAGTATCTGCATCATTCATCAACTTATGAGCAAATCTTGAGAAATCCTGCTTTATTCACTATCTCTATTGTTTTCTAGGGTTGCTTCTCTCCCCACTAACCTATGAAACCCTTGTCCAAGTCACCAATGTTTTTATCACAAATGTATGCCTGTCTTTTCGTCTTACCCTGCATCCAACTCAGTGATGGTATATAGCAAGTCCTTAATAAATATCTGTTGACAAGTTGGTTGAATGAGTGATTTAATAACTTAAAATACATGGGATGGAAAAATGAATTCAACACTAACATACTTGCTTACTCATTTTTAAATTCCTGTTCTTATATCTATATGGAAGAAAAAGGTACAGAATTGTAATTATTCGAAGAGTAATAATTGTTTTTGCCCCTTGGGAAAATATAATTTTATTGTTAATTTTGTAATTTTCTCTCCATCAACCTTATCTTCTTGCTCAACTCCTTCCAAAATTGTTAATTTCATCTAATTATACAGTTCATTCTAATGGTTTTTACCTAGGTTCTACAGTGAAATTTCTCTATAATTCATTCAACAACTATTTGTTGGGTCTTATGTTCACTAGAAATTGTGCTATGGACTATAGACAGATGGCTGAAGAAGTCATATCCCTGCCCTAAAGTGGTTACCAGTATAGGGAAGAGAATACCTCCCCCTACACACACAAAATAATTATAATGCAATATGACTAGGTGCTTCATGAATATAGGAACACAGAATTCCCTATTTCCTGCTTTATTCCTGGCATTTATTTTAAAAATCAATGCTATATAATATTATATTGGTGGTATTCAGAAGTCTTTCTGAATAGTAGTCTGTAAAACTCAGTTGGAAATAGAAAAATTTATGACTTTGAGTCCAAATGCACTAGGAGTTGAACATTATACCTCATTTGAGTCCTGTAGCAATCCTGTGAGCACTAAAACATTTAAAATATTTTAGTTTTTAAAAATTTATTTCTCCATCATTACCTGTGCATCTTCTAGATTAGGCATTTGAAAATTCTGTGCATACATGGCAATACAGTCAACTTAAAAGATCTTCCCATTACTTGGTTGAAGCAGACCTGGTGTAATTTCAAGGGCATTAGGAAAATCTCAAAAGCAAACAAATTTTTCCCTCTGGGTTTGTTGATGACAGAAATCTCACCCTCTGTAATTTATCCTTATGGATAAAGGCGTTTAGGTTACTGAAGTGTAACTATTCCTGGGAGAGGAAGCATATTAAATTATCAAACATTTAACAACTTACTAGAATTGCTTTGATCAGTTTCTTTCCTGAGAACAAGAACTGATGGAAAGAAGTTAATAAAAGTGCAGGGATATTGGGCTTGGGGGACACCACCACCAGGAAGAAAGTTTGAAGGAAGACTGAGGGTACCTGAGACTGGCAGATAGGAAGTTGGCCCTGCCAAGTGGGTTCATTGTTGCCTACAGTCTAGATTTTCCAGCCTGATGAGGTAGGGGAAACATCTGTGCTGGGGCTGCCAGAAAATATGGTTTATTAGAAGTAAATTTGTAAATACAAAGAACAGCAACTGGCACTGTGAGCCACCGGAGGTTAGCTGCAGTAATTACACTGGCAAAAGGCTTGCTTGAACACTGCTCTTGTTGGTGGCAGAAAACAGTCACTTGAAACAGCCTAAAAGCACTAGATGCTCACCCAAAACAACCAAAATTATAGAGTTCAGAGGTTTGTTTCTGAAAACAAAAAGGTAACACGATAGAGTATTAGATATCACAATCCCTGATTTATTTGAGCAAACTTTGGCAGAGATGTCAGATATAAACAATTACATAATCTTTTCTGGAAAATATATAAACACAATCTTAATTTTTTGTTAACAGATACCCTAATTTTAAAATAAGTTCCAAAGTGATTATTTCTGCAAAGCCAAAAAATTACTCCCACAAGCGCCATCACCACTATTGATCATTCCTTTTTGTTAAAGTGTTAATTTTTATATAGGACATATATGTTCTAATCCTATATGCTAGTGATTCTGTAGGTGGGTAAGTAAAAGTGAAGACAGAAGCTTAACTTCACAGTTTGTTTCCTCATCCATAAAAAAAGAATGTTAAGTGTTTTCTTTCTGCTTTCACAATCCACAATACATGATATAAGCATCTGGAAAAATAGCCATGATTTTCTCATTTTCATGTGGTATTCTATTTTTTCCTTCATTTGAGATGTAATAGAAAATTGCTATTCTGAAATTTCCCAGTAAATTAATTGTCTCTGCATACTATGTAGATTAGTTTGAAACTTTAAGAAATATGTGTAATGGGTCATTAAAGGTGTTATTTTTATTACTAAATTCTATTAAAATGTGCATATGTATGAATATATGACATATAATGATACAAATAATACCATATATGTATAATGCAATGCTTAATTATAATTATGTGTATTACATAGTTATCAAATCCTTTGGTTATTTATTTAATACATCAGGGAAGGAAAAATATATTCCTATCAGCTGAAATGTAGGAGCCCTTTTTCAAGATATTCCTTAATATGGATTCTTAATCTTCAGGCAACTGCCTTACAATTGTTTCTGTAGCTGAATACCTCCTATATTAATCTTTACTTCATATGTTTCTTTAAAACAACTCAGGACCAAAACAATTACCCAATCTAGTCTTTCACTAAGTAAAAATACTCATGAAATAATAAGTTAATGTGCATACTATATCAATGCAAACTAAAATCAATACAGAATTAAAAAAAATTGTCCATGTGCTGCCTACAGTTATCTCATAATTTCCCGATTGTGTGTATAATACACATGGGAAAACAGAATTTTGTGTGCAAATTAATTAAGAGCTTGGAGTTTGGAGTCAGCTGCCTAGGTTTAACTTCTTATCCTGCTGCTTAGCTATGTGGCTTCCAGGTCCCTTAGTTTCCTCATTAGTAAAATGGGAATAATAAATCATCTACCTCACAGGGTTCTTGTGAGAATTAAGATAACATTAAAAAACTCAGAGTAGTTTCACATAGTTCGTAACACACACACTTTTTGTGCTAATTTTTACCGTGTATTAAAGAATCATTGTGTGGGTATTTGTATTCATTGACTTTTCCATGCATGCAATACTCCAATACTAACTGTTAAATTGAAACTGAAGCCCAGATTATTTGCTCCAAATCCAAGTTCTCAATAGAGTTGCAGAAGCTTCTAAATAAGTCTAAAACCACTTTCCTGAGCAGTTTATTTCCTGGGAGATGCTAACTTATTGTTTTGGACATCCATTAATCAATTCAAACTTTAATTCAAATATTTACTGAGTGTCTCCTGTGCACAAGACAGATGATATGAAAGGGATACAAAGATGAATCAATCAGGCAGAGCTCTCCCTAGCAGAGTTAACAAATAACACTCGTATAATTAGCAAGTGGCAAGTGCCACAGGAGAGGTCCACAAGAGATGAGCTTCAGAAGTTCTGTGAAAAGTAAGGAGATTTCCAGCTCAGGGAATCTGGGAAGATGTTAATATTTGATCAGAAACTTTAAGATGCCAGGCACTCTGCAAATCGTTATGTGCATTATCTCATTTACTCCTGACCACATGCCAATAAGTTTTCCCTTTCTGCAAAAGCAGTAACAGAAAAGCGAAGTTTGAGCTCAGGGCCAACATTACAACATGTTGTTTTATTTATATTATCTAAATATAAATTATAAAATTTTTTAAAATTACATGTGGGGGGCTTGGAATTACTGTTTCATTTGTATTCCATCGCACTTGGTGACTTGCCATTTATGTTTTTATATTTTTTTAAAATTTTTTATTGTATGTGGGTTCATAGTAGGTGTGTATATTTATGGGGTGCATGAGATGTTTTGATAAGGCATGCTAAGAACATACACTAGGAAAAAGACAACGTGTTCAATACACAGTATTGGGAAAACTGGCTTGCCATTTGAATGCTATTTACTCTAGTAATTTATTTCTTTAGAAAATTAAATGCTACATTGGTGTCCCATAAGAGTTGGCACAGCTTCCAAAATTACTTAGCCTCTTCCCCCTGAAGCAGTTTATACTTTAGGAGAATGTGTTTAATCATGTGTAGAATAATTATATTTCTGAATATTTAAATCATAATTCAAAATAATCTAAATCAATATTCTTAGTCTGGGCTTAGTAACACACTAACATTTTACATTTTCCTGCTCTTTTAACTGTCAGCCCTTTGTACATCTTTACGCATTGGAAGAATTCGTTGATCAGAGAGGAGGCGTCTCAGCACAGGCTTCAGGTTCTGGTATAAAGATGACACAATTATCCAGTGTTTGCCAAATACACACAGTTTCGAAGAAATATGCAACATTGTTATGTAGAGCAATTCTTGAGGATGGAATTGTCTCCAAATTGTCAAAATCTGTTTCAACATAATCTCCTTTTTTTCTTTCCTATTGTAACTACGGGTGCTATTGCCCTCAGCAGAGAATTTGGTGAGCTGTGGAAAACCTGTCAGGTGAGCAAGCTTAATTAGCCCAGAATAGTTCTTTAACATTTCTAAATCCAAGCCCTAAAGACAGATATGATTGAAGACTATAAAAAATAAAAATATACTTAAAATGCTATTTTGAGGCTCATTAAACTTGAATTAGTCAACATCTATTTCTGCAGACAGAGTCAATTTGCATTTATTCAGTGGTTCTCTTTGGACAATTAATAAGTGGGTGACATTAAGTAACTTGAATCAAAACAAAATAATTAAAATATGTAGTGAAAAAACTACATCAAAAATGGAAGTGAAGATAATATGAATTCAGACTCTGGTCATTTGTTTCTTATGACAGAATTATATAGACAATTGTCAATGACCTTTTTTAGAGAACATCATAAATACCACATAAAGTAAACAATAACAACAACTGTGTCTGTGTATGAGCAGCCTCTTATTTCCACTTTAAGAAACCACAAGTTCTACTGCCAAATAAATTGAGTTGATAGATGACAAGTGATATTTTTATTTTTCATCTGAAAGGGCTACAAAGAAATTACCTATCCTTCTTTGCCACTAATTCTAAATATTTTTTTCAAGGCTCTGGCAAAAATGTGGAGGATGTTTCTCAACTTTCAGACATATCTGGCTAACTTACCCTTTTTCTACTTTTGAAGCATTACATAAAGGGATGTGTGTGAACGAAATTTTGAAAGCCTGTTGGGAAAGGAAGCAAAGTGGTTCAGGCCTAAGTGTTCTGATTCTAGTTATGTAATACTGGGGCCAGGAAACTTTTTCCATAAAGGGACAGAGAACAAGTTTTGGGATTTGAGGGCCACTTGGTCTCTGTCTCAACTACTCAGATATGCCCCTGTAGTGTGAAGTAGCACAAGACAATACATTAAAAGTGTGGTGGCTGTGTTGCAACAAAACTTTAACTTGTAAACAGGTGGCAGGTCAGATTTTGCCCAAGAGCAGTGTTTTTTTCACCACTGATGTAGTCTAATGCCAAGACTGATTAAGTAAACCTAGCCAAGGAAGAGTATTTTCCATTAGTTATTCAAGCAAGGCTGTGTTCTTTACAGATTGCATTCAAGTATATGGAGCTGTGACTGAAGAAATCAGGGAAATTTCCAGAAGGTCTGATGGGAGCCATGTCTTTTGGTGACTAAAATGGATATGTCTCCTGTTATTGGATAATGATGATGAATTCCTGATTGAATATCCTGTCTGTACTGAATTCTTTCTGTGCCATTTAGAAAAGCTAAACTTGTTTCATTTGCCCAGGTGGTGTCTATTCCTGGTCCCTTTGCCAATCTGTGTCCATGGGTGTTTGTGCATCAGTGCTTGCAGCTTGATAGAGACTGTCAAAATAGCATCTGAAAGGCTCTTTCACCAGAGGGTGCCAGAAAGTTATGATGCTTCTGAACTCTTCCTGGTATGTTAAACCTGCTTCAAAGTGGCAAAACTTGGTGGACAATATAGTGTTGAATTGCACATAAAAAGAGAGCAACTGCAATACATCACCAAAGTGCTCTGGTACCTACAGGTATTTGGGATGCAATTCCTTCCCAAGGAGTGTGGTCTGAGTAGCTTCATGTGGGGTCTTCCAGTACAAGAATATTCAATCTCCACTGCCAAACTAGCCACCCTCAGATCTCAGGATGAAAACCTTTCCCATCATTTCTATGTTAGCCATGAATGAGGATTGCAGTGCCTTTGCTGGACTATTGGAAGTTGGCTCTCTTCACTTTTCAGGGTCTATTCCAAAAACCAAGTCACACGGTTTATGGCGTATGGCAAATATACATGCAGATAGGAATAATCTGGGGTCATGTTGAGTTGAGACAGTATCTAAAATATGCCAAGAATTCAATGCCAGAAAATGGAAACTGAAGAAATTCATAGTTGAGAGTAGGCAAAGCAGTAATAGGATAGACAGCAGCATTTGTCAAAGCAGAAGAAATGTCAAATACTAACTGAGAAGTTGCTACGATCAGTGGCCAAGTGAGTCTAGTTTCTTGATCATCCATAATTTTGTCATCAAAGAGAAATTTATGCATGGGTTTCCCTTTCATACAATATCCTATTTTTCCTATATTACTGGGCATAAAGAGGGAGAATTTAAAAGTTTCGGGCATTTAAGAGAAAATAATGGTCCTCTTATCCCATTCTTCTAGACATGCAGATATCACAGACAATTCAAATGTCAAAAAATATTAAGAAGACTTATGTTAGGTTGTCCACTTATTATTTTTCTCAACAAGAGCATTAACAACTCTCATATGCTTGTATTATGGTTTTAAGTAAAGAATATTCTGTTGCCAAAAAAATAGAAAAGATAATATAAGATTTAAAATGTTCCAATTTTTAAATAAATTTATGAAATTGAAAGAAAAATTCTTATTTTACCCAAGAATAATGAGAATGCATTTGTTTATTAATCAATGTTTGGGAACCATTAACCCAATTTAAATACTTCTCATATTTGAATAGCTTTGATAAACTCCCTGTAAAATGGTTTGCTGGCCTATGTCTAGATTTCTTCAGTTATGGAAAATTCTGTACCACTTGAAGTATGTCATTTGTTCTTAGACTCTGAAATACATTCGTACTTTACAATAAAATCTGTCTTCCTATAACCACTTCATTAGTCCTTATCTCAGTTCTTCGGCATCTGTAACAAAGGGCCATAGACTGGGTGGCTTCAACAACAGAATATTTGCTCAATCAGAGTTCTGGAAGCTAGAAATTCAAAGATTGGGGTGCCAGTGAATTCGGTTTCTGGTAAGAATTCTCTTCCTGGCTTGCAGATGGCCTCTTTCTCACTGTGTCCTCAAATGGTTGAAGGAGATAGAGATCTCTAGCTTCTTTCTCTTAAGGGCAACAACCCTATTGGATTAGGGCCCCATCCTTATCACCTCACTGAACATTGGTCACTTCCCCATTTCCAAATACAGTCACATTGGGGATTAGGGCTTGGACATATGAATTTTGAGGGACACATTCAGTCCATAATCATCCTCATTTTGCTTTTTAATACCATGTAAAGCAAGTATCATCTCTTTTCCATATACCAATCCAGTCACTATTTGGAAAATTGTAACTCTCTGAAGCTCTACTAACCTTCCTCAAATGGTTTCAAGTTTCTTCATAATATGGGCAATTCTCTGAATAGGGGTCAAAAGATCTTTATCACTTTAAAAAGAAAAACTAAAACACTAAATATGTGAACACATTTATTGTACACGTTTACGTTCTCTTAGCAGGAACTTTTATTCTCATTATTCTAATTCTAATGTAGATACTATCCCAAAAATGGACATGAGGAAACTAACTACTAGAGGAAACAGATCTTCAATTTGTCTTTCACAACCACTTGGTTGTATATATTTAGACCATTCTATGAAAATTCTAACTTCACATATTTTTCCACACTCTGACCTCATGTTGTGATATTTGGAGGGGCACGCTACACCCCTAAACTGAAGAAGTGAACACAGGCCATCACTGGAGATGCTCTACACTAGCTGAGAAGTTACTCGGCCTTCTTGTGTGCCGCTATGTCATTATCATGACCTACCTCTTGGGCTAGACCTTCTTGGTACACTAGACTTGGTGCTATTCCTGACCTGGAAGTAACATATGAGAGGGAGAGGTAGTCCTTGTTATTTTTCTCAGCTGTGAATACATTTTTTTGTCAGGTTAAAATTTTTGGAAATTCAATTATGAGATAGTAGTTTCAGTTTCAGGAAGCCCAATATGAAACTTTAGAGGAAAAATTTGTTTCTCTCTTAATTTGTGTTATTACAAAATATATATGCAGCATAGTCATAAAGCCACAGTTCTATTTCTATATGCAGTTGGGCCTGCTGAATGCTAAATAGAACACCAATATTCCTGTTACTCATAAAATGTACTAGCTAGGTTAGTGAATGCCAGAGAAAGTAACCATTTCTTAAAGAAAGACAGATTTTAAGGGACTTAACTTTTCAGTGCAATATGTTAGCATGCTCCTATTCCTTGTGGGCTCTCAGATGTACAACAAACAAGCAAACAAAAAAGAAGCTTAGCTGATCCAGCCCTTTTGCAGCAAAGGGACCCAGAAGTGTTTTTCCTTGAAAACCTGAGGAAAATCAATCTCAGGGAGAAACAAACATGCTGTAGGTTTGTTTTATTTTTAACATAATAGTGCACCCAAAAAGTGACCCTTCCTGGAAAATTTTGCTCCAAAGAATATGGAACTATATATTTTGATTATCACATCACTGTGCTAAGAAGTATAAGAATACATTTTTAGATAAAACTTTTCTTTATGATTTAATCAGAAAATATGGTTTTTTTTTGTGCCTACTATGTGCAAGGCCCTGTCCAAAATCCTATGGATAGAAATGAAAATAAAATTTCATGAGTGTTTCCAGCAAACTGCTGTCCGGAAAATTCATGGACAAGTAAACTGACTGCAGAGCGATATGATAACTACTAAAGGAATGTGTAAACAATGTTATAGGAATACGAATAAGGAAAAGATGGATTGTGACTGAGGGGCCAGGGAAGCATTCACAATGCAGCTTAATTTGAAGAAGATAATATAGTCCATATGATACAAAATATCACTTTAAAATAGTATTAACATTTTTTAGTCTACAATCAGGCTCATTTTTGATCATTTTAATTAAATATTCTAGTTGTATTGTTGCTGTAATAAAAGCAACTATCTTTCAAAACAAATTTTCACAAACCTAACACAAATAAGAAGATCTTCTTTTGGGCTTGAGGAAAATATGATCACAAAAGTATTCCTTTAACAATTGCATTTTTTTTCTTCAAAGTTGCTTATAATTTAGGACACAACACATACACACTTACATACACATATAATTGCACTCATCATTGTTTCAATGTGAGAGTTAGATATTTTCATTTTCCCTCCACTCTCTTGATTAAGGCAATTATTACTTTAAATGTAAGTTGGATGTGTACATGGAAATGACATTTAGAAATAGGCCATGCTATTATTATGTCATTTAAGCATTTCCTCAGAAGCATCTTTGCTTTCTTGCAATTGGAGTAAGTTGAATTTTATATTGCCTGATAGCTTTAGATTGTTTAGTCAAATTTTTCCAGAAAAATTTTTAATTTTGTTTATATGGGATTGTTTGAACATTAAGTTTAGAGAGATGATATCAAATAGCCTGGAAGAAACCTTCAAGAATATTTTTGTAGGAGCTGGTGCTGCCATTTATCTCCTCATAATTTTATAGAAAAGCTTCAGCTTCAACATCTTCAACATCAACTACTTGCCTTCAGATAATAAGTAGAAATGACAACAGTAAGACATAGAAAAATAATTTGCATAAGCAACAAAATCTATACAGAAAATAACTAAACGTAAGTATAGGAACACATTTCTAGATCATATACTCTAATTTTAATAGAAATTCATAAAATAATGTTTAAAACACTAGAGTATACTTTCCACAGGCATAATAGTTATTTAAGTTACAAAAAAGAAAGGGTCTAAATAATTTTTCCTAATGATGTTGAAGACTTCTTTCTTTCCAAAAGTAGAGGTTGCTAATAAAGAAGCTAAGAATAACCGGTATTCTGACAAGACCACTTGAAAACAATCTATCCACAAATGTCACAAAAATTTCATAGTAAATATGCAGAAGTATTTTCTTGTGATATTATCTCAAGATACAAGGTTCTGATTTTATAGTTTATATTCAACAAATTACAGAAAATATAATTATTCTTTAATTATTAGAATAGACCAAGAATGAATGAGGAATGTATCATTCCTGAGGTTTTTCTTTTCTTTATTTTTGGCAGTGTCAGTGTGAGAGGACATAACCCTCTACTAAAACTATAAAATAATATGAAGTAATGTATTTACTTTGATTTTTACTTCAACAGTAGTGTCACAAGTTAGGTTATTATTATAAAGCCACTCTAAGACTTCATCAGTTTTATCCAGAGCTTCATTTAATCTGTTAAAATTTACATCATTCTCTTTTAAAGTGCCTATCATGTGAATATCCTTGTCAATTTTCTTTCTTTCTCTTTCCTTTCTTTTTCCTTCTTTCCTTCTTTTTCTGTTTCATTTTCTTTCATTTTCTCTTTCTTTTTTTTTTGTGCAGTGTGTGATCATGGCTCACTACTGCAGCCTTGGTCTCCCAGGCTCAAGCAATCCTCCCACCTTAACCTCCAGAAGAGCTGGGACCACAGGTGTATGTGGGCTAGACTTTCTTTTCTTCAATTCTTAACTGATATAATCCTGCAATATTCTCATTTATTTGTGATTCTGCATATAATCAAGTGGTTTTCAATGTCGATTTAATCAACACTGAGAAAGCCTTTATCTTTTGTAAGATATACATTTTTTTATTTTATAAACAATTGCATAGGATTTGCCCTGTGTTTCAACATTGGACAGTTGGCAAAAAAATAAAGTGGACTTAGACTTTGGCATTGATGTGATCGGTTAAATTGCACACTGATGTTAAGCTGAGAGGCATGCTTGAGTGGCAGGGACTTGGTGGTGACTTCATTAATGAATGTTTTCATGTCTTGATCACGTTTTTCCCCTGTGCAACCTATTAACTGTGACTTAGACATATTATTTAATATTTCTGACATTAGTTTAATTTCTTTGTTTTTAAATGGAAATAGTAACAGATTCTGCCGCTTAGAGCTGTGATAAGTTAAGTTACTTGTTTTTTTGTAATGTGCTTAACAGGCCTTCTGGCTCTGAACATGTCGTCAATACACGTTTACTATTATTTCATTAAAAGCTATGCAAAATCATCGTCAATCTACCAAATAGTGTGTCAGAAGTGCAACACAATTTATGCAAGATGTCTTGAACTAACTATAACTTATTAAACAATCTTTCTCATTTCTTACATTTAACTTTATCACAGCAAAAATAAATGCGAACAACATCAAAATCATATTAAAATGTACAGTATATCTACTGAAGATTTATAAAGACCAAAGGGAGGCAGAATAAGTGTAGTCATACAACAAGATTTTCTAAGATGTATATTTATACATTCTTTCCTCTCCATAAACCCCACATTTTTAATAGCTGGCCCAGAGCTTCGTTCATCTCTCTACCCTGTCTTATCTTCAGCCTTTTATGACACACATCATGCAGCCCTTATCTATCATCTTCAACATTTCAGTTTTTTTCCCTGTACAGTTGATTATTTCTTATCCATAGAAATTTAGTCTCTAGGCTTTTTCCTGTTTCCTTTACCAAATTTCTGGCCAAGAAAAATCTAGGGACCACGTAATTCCATAAAAAATTCTCCATAAAGACCAAGAAACAGACTTATTAGTATCTTGGCCATGGCTGACTTTGGTTCTTCTGTTTCTGTTCTTAGTAGCTGTGTAAACTTAGTTCAGTCATTTTACTCTTAGTTTTCTATAATATAGAATCAGGGATTTAAACTCTATGATCTCTAAGCTGACTTTCAACTAAAATTTTGTATGTGTTTCTAATTATTTAAACCCCAAATTCAAGAACATTATGAATATAGCATACATGCAAAATAACAATAAACATTTGCTTATTTTTGTGAAAAAGTTTCTTGCTTAAACGTAGGAGAATAAAAAATGTGGTACTCAAAACAGATAAAAATTTATTTCCCTTTCTCTTCCCTGCTAATGGTGAATAAATCTCAGGCTGCAGTAACATGTTTTAAAGGCTTTTCTACCTTTAAAATGTATCTAATTATTAGAAAAATCAATCTAATTAACCCAAATTAAGTGGATCTTGGAATTTATATTGAAGAATGTTTACCCACTTTTACATTTTAAAGAAAACTGTACAATTAGAGTGGAATAATAGACATTGGAAACTTTAAAAGGTGGGTGGGTGGGAGTGGGGTGAGGGATGAAATACTTCCTATTGTGTACAATGTACACTATTTGGGTGATAGGTACACTAAATGCTCAGACTTCATTACTGCACAATATATTCATGTAACACAACAGCACTGGTACCCCTAAATCTATAAAAATAAAAATAACCTGTATAATTAGTAAAAGATGACTATTTTTAATGGAATTTTTATTGTTCTTATAAGTTTTTGTTTTTTTTACTCTTCGAGTATCATTCAATTTACTTGTGTTCAGACATAAATTCAACCATTCAGAAGAATATCAAGGAAAAGTAAACATGATGGTGAAGTTAGGAAGTGATTAAAATGATCAAAGAAAGAAATAAAAAATAATGACACACAAAAGATTCTTTTCAACTGGAAATAGTTACAATAACCTAAGGAACATGGGCAATGGCAATAGAAGAATGAGCTACTGGCTAGCAAATGAGAGAAAAAAGCAGGAATACAGAAGAAATAGAGAAAAAGGAGGGAAGTGAGTGCTAGGCTACATATAGAGCAGAAATAATCAGAATTGGCAACACATGGGTGACATACATCTCTATAGTTTGAAGCTGTGTCAGCAGAGACTCAAGAGAGCTCTTAGAGAGGAGAGAGGGGAACTATCAACTAGAACATCACCATAGGGCAAGCTATGTCTCAGCCCCTCCATCACTCTTAGGTGTGCCTCTGAAGCTCTGGAAAATCAGGCCACTTTTATGGGAGTAAGACAACGTATAAGAGCAGCCATGGACACTCACAGGAAAGTTACAACCAGCAGTCTTTGACATCTCTGCACTGAGAGTGTGCCACTCCAAATAAAGGGCAATTCATTTGTACAGTAGTCCCCCCTTATTCATGGGTGATATGGTGAACTGAGAATAATATTGAACCTTAAACAGTATATAACTTTTTGCATACATATATACCTATGATAAAGTTTAATTTATAAATTAGACACAATAAAATATTAATAACAATAGTCAAGTATAAACTAGAACAATTATAACAATATACTATATTAAGAATTACATGAATGTCATCTCTCTCTCTTCCTCTCAGAATACTGTAATATATTTGGACTGTGGTTGTACACAGGTAACTGAAGCCATGGAATTTGAAACTGCAGAAAAGGAAGGACTACTGTAATCTGCAGAAGCACTAACTAGAACAGAGTTCAGAGAATTATATTGTTTGTAATTTGAAAATATGTTAGTATAAATAGCATGATGGATGTATGTGCCTGAATTACTTTTCATCTATACCTTAGGAATATTTGGTTAATATTTTAAGGTTTTGTAGATCACATAACTAAGTCTGCAACCTTATCTTTATCCTACATTAATTTTTTCAGGTTGAATTTGCTCTTCTGCCATTAGGAAGTGAAGTGAAGTTTTCTTTCCCGTTAATATTGGTTGACTCAGTGACAGCATTATGAAAGTAACAGAGGTAACATTTTAGGACTCCCCAAATAGTGATATTTCAGGAGCTTAGAAATTAAGAAGGCCTGGCAGTGTCTGCTTTTGTGCTCCAAAAAGGGAGCTACCATGTAAGAAGTCCAAGAAAGTTGAGATGGTCATGTTTTACAATAAAAATGTCAAGCTAGCCATATGGACTGGCAATAGGTGAGAAAGAGAGAGAGATAGAGATCCTCACTAGACCAACCAAATGGCTGAACTGTAAGCAAATAAATTTTATCTATTGCTTTAACCCACTAACATTTAAAAAATTTGTCATTTTATGCCATTTGCAAACAATTTATTTTCTGTACATAAAATAAATTGATATCTAAGAGTGGGATGATGTTTGAACAAAAGGGTAAAGCATATTGCCTTATTTTGGGGACCAGGTATTGGGTAGAGATTTTAAGATTCTCAAGGAGGCTGTTAGCAAAGGTTGCAAGAACAGGATGAGGTTGCTATTGAAGGCCAGAGAACAGGGATCCTGAGTGATCTACTGGCAGAAAAAAAATTAGCAAAATTAATACCTGTGGCAATGTGGACAATAGGAAGAAAACTTAATGATCTTGTGATCTGAGTAGGAAGATTTCTAGGCTGTTGAAAGTGCTTGCTCTTTTTAGTTGCATTTCTTTTCGTTGATCATGACAAAGTTCTTTTAGTTGATTATGACAAAGTTTAGAAGGAATGAGATGTGGAAAGAATGTTCAGCGTTTAAGAAGAATTTAGTGCAATATAAAGGAGCTTGGACATGTCAGATTTGAAAATAAACTGTTTCTCATCCTCATTCTTGCTTAAAAATAGAAAAGATTATCAAAGTAAAAAATAGTTACAGAACAATGGTCGAATCCCAAGTGATTTCACCAAATTTAGCCTCATAATAAATACCAAAACAAAGGTTTAACTTTTTTGAAACCTCAGAAAGATTTAAGGTGGCATTTCCTAAAGAGTCTCTGCTGAGGAAATGGGCATATGAATATATTAAGTATGCTTTATAGATCCTCTCTTCCTAGCAAAAATGGCTCATGAGAATCTCATGGACACTGATCCAAGCCCAAAATAGAAAGAAATGTGTCTTAAGGAGATTCATAAGTGTGGCTTTTTTCTAAGGGTATGAACCACTTATCTAATAGCAAGGAAACCCACAACTAAAAAAATTATATATATTTGTAATACAATGGACAGAGATGGGTCAAAATATAGAGACTTCTGCTCTCCTATTCTTCAACTTATTAAAGAAAGCTATTCAGTTACAACTTAATTCAGTGTTTTTGGAAAGAGAGGGAGGATGGAACACAGATACCAGAGAGTGTGTCTAAGAGCCACTCCCAGGGCATATAGCAAAGTTTCTAAAATAGGAAGTGGTGATAAACACCTAGTTGGATTTCAGAAAAAAAAAAAATTATGGCTGTTATCTTTGATCTTTTTACATTGTGAATGGGGTCTACGGGGATGAGATAATGTATTCTATATTGCATATGTCATTGAATTCAGAGCGGCTGCATTGAAGAGCTGTACTTATGCAACGGCAGCGTGGGGAGCTACCCTGAGGCTCCCTTCCCACAGCTCTTCCACAATGTGACCATAGCATTACTTCTTTAAGGTTAGATCTTGTGCCACTCATCTTGAATCTGGGTTTGTCCTGTGCAAACTTTGACCAACTGAATGCAGCATTCTGGAATATTTGAGCCTAGACACAAGGAGCCTGACATCTTCTACTTTTGTTTAACTTTTATTTTAGGTTCAGGCATACATATACATGTTTGTTATATAGGTAAATTGTGTGTGGTGGGGGTTTGGTGTACAGATTATTTCATCATCCAGGTAATAAGCGTAGTATCCAATAGGTAGTTTTTCGATCCTCAACCTCTTGCCACCCTCCGCCTTCAAGTAGGTCCTGGTGTCTGTTGTTCTCGTCTGCGTCCACAGGTGCTCAAAGTTTAGTTCTCACTTGTAAGTGAAAACATGTGGTGTTTGGCTTTCTGTTCCTGTGTTAGTTTGTTCACAATAATGGCCTCCTGCTCCATCCATGTTGCTTCAAAGGACATGATAGCATTCTTATTTATGACTTCTTTCGTGGTGTATATGTACCACATATTTTTAATCCAGTCTACCATTGACAGGCACTTACTTTGATTCCATGTCTTTGCCTTGCTCTTTGTGAATAGTGCTGCGATAAACATATGTGCACGTGTCTTTAGGTTAGAATGATTTATATTCTTCTAGGAATCCAATAATGGGATTGCTTGTTGAATGGTAATTTTTTTAAGTTCGTTGAGAAATTGCCAACTAATTTGCATTGTCACCAGCAGTATATAAGTATTCTCTTTTCTCTGTAGCCTTGCCAGCATGTTATTTTTTTACTTTTTAATAATAGCCATTCTGATGGTGTGAGACTGCATCTCATTGTGGTTTTGATTTGCATTTCTCTAATGATTAGTGATTTTGAGCATTTTTCATATGTTTGTTGCCCACATGTGTGTCTTCTTTTGAAAACTGTTTGTTCATGTCCTTTGCCCATTTTTAAATGGGGTTGTTTTTGCTTGTAAATTTCTTCAAATTTCTTATAGATTCTGGATACTAGACCTTTGCTGTATGCATAGTTTTCAAATATTTTCCCTCATTCTGTAGTTTGTTGGTTTACTTTGTTGATATTTCCTTTGCTGTGCAGGAGCTCTTTAGCTTAATTAGGTCCCATTTGTCAGCTTTTGTTTTTGATGCAATTGCTCTTAGTGTCTGCCTCATGTAATCCTTACCAGGTCCTATGTTGAGAATGGTATTTCCTAGGTTATCTTCCAGGGATTTTATAGTTTGAGGGTTACACTTAAGTCTTTTAACCACCTTGAGTTAATTTTTGTATATGGTATAAGGAAAGGGTCTAGTTCCAATCTTCTGCATATGGCTATTCCAGAACCATTTGTCAAATAGTTATTCCAGCACCAGTTTATCAAATAGGGAGTCCTTTCCCTATTACTTGTTTATGTCAGTTTTGTCAATCAGATAGTTATAGGTGTACAGCATTATTTCTGGGCTCTCGATTTTGTTCCATTGTTCTATGTGTCTATTTTTATACCACTGCCATCTTGTTTTGGTTATTGTAGCCTTGTAGTATAGTCTGGTAATGTGATCACTTCAGCTTTGGTCTTTGGCTTAGCATTGCCTTGGCTATTCAGGCTCTTTTTTGGTTCCACATGAATTTTAAAAGTTTTTTCTAATTCTTTGAAGAATGTCACTGGTAGTTGAATGGGAATAGCATTTAATCTGTGAATTACTTTAGGCAGTATGACCACTTTCACAATATTGGTTCTTCCCGTCTATGAGCATGGAATGTGTTTTCATTTGTTTCTGTCATCCTTGGTTTCTTTGAGCAATGATTTGTAATTCTCATTTAGAAGTCTTTCACCTCTACAGTGAAAATTACAGAACATTGATCAAAACAGACACCAATAAAATAGCCACGATATCCCTGTTTGCAGACAATAGGATTCTATACCAAGAAAATCCCATAGTCTTTGTCCTAAAGCTCTATTGTAGAGCTGTATTCCTAGGTATTTTATTCTTTTTGTGGCTATTGTGAATGGGATTGCATTCTTGATTTGGATTTCACCTTGGATATTGTTGTTGTATAGGACTGCTACTGATTTTTGTACATTGATTTTATATCCTAAAACTTTGCCAAAGTTGTTTATAAGGTCATGGAGCTTTAGGGCAGAGACTATGGAGTTTTCTTGGTATAGAATCATATTGTCTGCAAACAGGGATAGTTTGACTTCCTTTCTTCCTATTTGGATGTGTTTTATTTCTTTCTCTTGCATAATTGCTTTGGCTAGGAATTCCAGTACTACTGAATAGGAGTGGTGAGAGAGGGCATCCTTGTCTTGTGCCAGTTTTCAAGGGGATTATTTCCAGCTTTAGCCCATTCAGTATGATACTATGTATTTGTCATAGATGGCTCTTATTATTTTGAAGTATTGTCCTTCAAATGCCTAGTTTGTTGAGGGTTTTTAACATGAAGGGATGTGGATTTTATTGAAAGCCTTTTCATTATCTATTGTGATGTCCATGTGGTTATTTTTAATTCTGTTTATGTGGTGAATCACATTTATTGATTTGTGTATGCTAAACCAACCTTGCATTCCAGAGACAGAGCCTACTTGATCATGGTGGATTAGCTTTTTGATGTGCTGCTGAATTTGGTTTGCTAGTGTTTTGTTTAGAATTTTTGCATCTATGTTCTTCAAGGATATTGGCCAAAGTTTTATTTTTATGTTGTGTCTCTTCCAGGTTTTGGCATCAAGATGATTTTGGCCTCACAGAATGAGTTAGGGAGAAATCCCCCCTCCTCATTTTTTCAGAATAGTTTCAGTATTAATAGTACCAGCTCTTCCTTATACATCTGGTAGAATTTGGCTGTAAATTCATCTGGTCCTGGGTTATTTCTAGTTTGTAGGGTTTTTATTAATGATTCAATTTTGGAACTTGTTATTGGTCTGTTCAGGGATTCAATCTCTTCTCGGTTCAATCTTGTGTGGTTGTATGTTTCCAGGAATTTTTCCATTTCTACTATGTTGTCTAGCTCGCATGCATAGAAGTGTTCATAATAGTCTCTGACAGTTTTTTGTATTTCTGTGGGTTCAGTGGCAATGTCCCCTTTGTCATTTCTGATTGCGTTTATTTGGATCTTCTGTTTTTCTTCATTAGTCTAGCTAGCAGTCTATCTATCATATTAATTCTTTCAAAGAGCAAGCTCCTAAATTCATTGATCCTTTATGGTTTTTTGAATCTTACTTTCCTTCAATTTAGCTATGATTTGGGTTATTTCTTGTCTTCTGCTAGCCTTGGGGTTGGTTTGCTCTTGTTTTTCTAGTTCCTCTAATTGTGATGTTAGGTTGTTTATTTGAGATCTTCCTAACTTTTTGATGTAAGTGTTTAGTGCTATAAGTTTCCCTTGGAACACTGCTTTGGCTATATCCCAGAGATTCTGGAATGTTGTATTGTTTTTCCATTAGTTTCAAAGAATTTCTTAATTTCTGACTTATTTTTTTGTTTACCCAGAAGTCATTCAGGAGCAGGTTGTTTGATTTCTATGTAATTTTATGGTTGGTTTTTTTTTTTTGCATTGGTTTCTATTTTTATTGTGCCATATTCTGAGAGCATGGTTGGAACAATTTTGGGTTTTTAGAAATTAATTGAGAATTGTTTTATGCCTGATTGTGTGGGTAATTTTAGCGTATGTGGCATGTGTGGATCAGAAGAAGGCATATTCTGTTGGTATTGGGAGGAGAGTTCTATAGTATGTTTATTAGGTCTATTTGGTCAAGTTGAATTGAGATCCCAAATATCTTTGTTAATTTTCTGCCTTGATGATCTGTCTAATACTGTCAATGGGGTGTTCAAGTCTTCCACTATTATTCTGTGGTCATCTAAGTCTCTTTTTAGGTCTCTAAGAGCTTGATCTATGAATCTGAATGCTCCTGTGTTGGGTACATATTTTTTTAGGACAGTTAGGTCTTCTAGTTGAATTAGACCTTTACCATTATGTAAATGCACTTCTTTGTCTTTTTTTTAAATCCTTGTTGGTTTAAAATCTGTGTTGTCTAAAATTAAAAGAGCACCCCTTGCCTTTTTGTTTTCCATTTGCATGGTAGGTTTTTCTCCATCCCTTTTATTTCAGCCTATGGGTGTCACTGCGTGTGAGATTGGTCTCCTGAAGACAGAATAACATTGGGTTTTGCTTCTTTATCTAATCTTCCACTCTGTGCCTTTTAATTGAAGCATTTAGACTGTTCACTTTCAAGTGAACATGTATTGACATGTGCAGATTTGATCTTGTCATCATGTTGTTAGCTGGTTATTATGCAGACTTGTTTGTGTGGCTGCTTTATAGCATCACTGGTCTGTATACTTGTGTTTTTTTTTTTTTTTTTTTTTTTTTTTTTTGTAGTGGCCAGGAATGGTCTTTTCCTTTCCATATTTAGCCCTCCCTTCAGGACTTTTTGTAAGGTAGGTCTGGTGGTAAAAAATTCTCTCAGCATTTGATTGGCTGAAAAGGGTCTTATTTCTCCTTTGCTTACGAAGCTTACTTTGGCTGAATATGAAATCCTTGGATGAAAATTATTTTCTTTAAGAATGCTGAATATATGCCCCCAATCTCTTCTGATTTGTAGGGTTTCTGCTGACAAGTCTGCTGTTAGCCTGACAGGGTATCCTCTGTGGGTAACCTGCCCCTACTTTCTAGCTGCCTTTAACATTTTTTCTTTCATCTCCACATTGGAGAATCTGATGTCTCTGTGTCTTGGGGGTGGTCTTCTTGGGGATGGTGTAGTATTTTGCAGGGTTTCTCTGCATTTTGATTTGAATGTTGACCTCTCTAGTAAGGTTGGGGAAATTTTCATGGATGATATCCTGAAATGTGATTTCCAAGTTGCTTAGCTTTTAACCCTCTTTTGCAGGGACACAAATGAGTTACAGATTTGGTCTCTTTACATAATCCCATATTTGTCAGAGATTTTGTTCATTCTTTATTGTTTTTCCTTTATTTTTGTCTGACTAATTTATTTTGGAGAGCCAGTATTTAAACTCTGAGATTGTTTCCTCAGTTTGGTCAATTCTGCTGTTAAAGTTTGGTCAATTCTGCTGTTAATACTTGTGATTGCATTATGAAATTTTTCTAGTGTGTTTTTCTTCTCCATAAAATCAGTTGGCTCTTTCTTATAATGGCCATTTTGTCTACCAGCTCCTATACTGTTTTATTGTAATCCTTAGATTTGGTTGGGTTTTGACTCTCTCCTGTATGTTGATAATCTTTATTCCTATCCATATTCTTAATTATGTTTCTGACATTTCAGCCATTTTAGCTTGGTTGAGAACCATTGCTAGGGAGCTATTGTGGTTGTTTGGAGGTAAGAAGACACTCTGGCTTTTTGAGTTTCCAGAGTTATTGTGCTGTTTTTTCCTTATTTGTGGGGATTATGTTCTTTCAATCTTTGAAGTTGCTGTCCTTTGGATGGATTTTATTGTTGTTGTTGTTTTCTTCTTTGAGGGGTTGATTATGGTATAGGTGTGCTTGGTTGAATGGCTTCACTTCTAGTCCACTCCTGGGTCTTGGAGGAGCCCTCTCTGATTACTGTCTCCATGCCCACATTTCTTTTGTTCTGGCCCACAAGGATCCTTCAGGCAGGGGCTGCTGTTGGCAGACAAGCTGTATTGTCAGGTTGGCCCTAAACTGCTGTCTGTGTGCTTCATGTGAAACAGAGGATTGTGCCTGCATGCAGAGTTTAGGTGGAATTGGGACCACTGGGTTGGAAGCTCTAGTGGGTGTAGCCTGTCTAGCAAGGAGAGGTTGGTGTGGGTGGAGTTGCCTGCCCTGCCATCCGGGTGTTTCCAAGGCAACAGGAAGCTGTGCCCCTTGGCAAATTCAGGAAGAAGTAGGACGGCTGAGCCAGAAGCTCTAGCAGGTATGGCTCACCTGGCTATCAGCAGGAGGGGTGGGTAGAGCATCTGGGTTCCTCCAGGGACAAAAGAAGTCTATGCCTGCCAGCTAAGTTCCCATAGAAGCAGGACCGTTGGACCAGAAGCTCTAGTAGGCTTTTCCCACCTGGCTATCGGTGGAGGTGGGTGGGTCATGCACCCTGCTTTCCATGTTTCCTGGGACAATAGAAGCCGTGCTCTCCAGCTGAGTTTTACAGAAGCAGGACCACAGGGTCAGAAGAGCTAATAGGCATTAGCTGCCTGGCTATCAGCAGCTGGGGTGTGTGGGGATGCCTGCCCTTCCAGGTGCTTCTAGCTGCACTCTCCAGTTGAGTTCACACAGAAGCAGGACCACTTGGCTGGAAACTCTAGCAAGCATTGCCTACGTGGCTACTAGTGGCGGGGCAGGTAAAGTGGCTGGCCCAGTTCAGGGTGAAGGGAGACCACTGGGCTGAAAGCTGGTGCCAAATTCCCTTTGGTAGGGTTGGCGGGGGGTATGGGAGGGTGGAGGTGTGGGGGGTGGGGGATGAGTGGTGTGGGGGTTAGGGCCTGGGGGTTGGAGCAATCTAATACGAGGCACCACAACTATGGCCTCTATTGGGTCTATGGCACCAGTGCTGGCAGGCTTTGTGGCCCAAGGCTTGTAGAAGTCCTTTTGAACTTGAGAATTACCTCTGCATAACATCCAAGTGGTTCTCTGCTTCAGTGTAGAAGGCTGGTGGGTGTGGGGTGGGTGCAGGGGAGCTGGGGGATTTTCTCTATCCCAGTCTTGCACAGATCCCTGTGGAGAGCATGAATGCCCCTGGGCACTCTCACTTATTCACCCTTTCCCATGTTGGAGATGTTTTCCTAGCTCCATGCTGAGGCCAGATAGGCGGGTGCCCAGCTTTGCTCTTCTCTGCTTCTTGTGTTCCCCTTCTGCTTTAATTGATCCCAACTAGTTTCTCAGATGATCAGCCTTACAGGGCCACTGCTCACTGGCCCTTTTGTTTCCTCTACGTGAGAGTGGCATACAAGAGCTGCTGCTCGTCTCCCATCTTAGCTTATGCTTTTATGTTTGGGAGAAATCTAGTACCCTGAAGCTGCCAAACGGTAAAGTAGTCCCAGCTAAGCATACAGAAAGGTACTATGGAGAGAATGAGAGAGACAGAGACAGGGAGAGGGAGAGAGCCGGCAGTCTAGTCAGTCTTCTTTTTCAACTGTCTTTGCTGAGACACGTAAATGAAAAGGTCATTTTGGACATTTCATTCCTAAAAGATTCCAAGTGGAGCAAAAAAGAGTTCTCTTCACTGACTCTTAGCAAAATTGCAGAACTGTGAGGAAATAAGTTATATCTGTTATTTTTAAGTACTAAGGTTTTGGAGTTAGTTCATTACAAAGCAATAAATAAATATCTTAGTCAGAAAGTAACACTTAAAAATTGGTTACTTAATACTTCAGATGTCCTTATGAAAATACAAAATATATTTTGTTAATTAGTATATGAATAAGTATTTTCCAATCCTGTGGTCATTTAGAAAGATTTTCCAATTAAGTATAAGAATATGTATGGCAAGCAAAGAATGACTTTTGGTATGCAGCCTCATTTGTCATTTTCTTCATCCACTTTACAGAAGCTGTCACTTGACTATATCGCAATGCTGATTTGCTATTGCTGCCATCAGAATGTCATATGTTAGCCTCAAAATTAACTCTTCATTGAAAACATGAGTTAAAGAGCTTAAGGACAGTGTGAAATTTTTCCAGACTAAATGAAAGGGTGGTAATAACTATTTATGCCTCTCGGCTAATATATGTTTGCATGTTGGACAGAGTTTAACCTAGGCTTGCTTTCTTTGTAATATACCACATGCAGGTGAGGGTGTGGGGTAGGAGATATGGCAGATACTATCTACCTACCAGAGTCTTCAGGTGCTTACAAAAAACCTGAAGACAGCTGAAGAGCCAAATTGACTCAAGACAGTTTGCAAAAAGAGGGAATTCTGGCCAATGGTAGTAAGAATGAGGAGTAAAGAAGAGGTTTGATTATTATAGATTATTTTCTCCACTTTGTATTAATAGGTTTTTTAGAGAAGGACAAAGGAAAGGAGACAGACAAAAGCAAAGATATATATGAAAGTTTAAAAAATGATACATTCTGTATAAGGCTCTATAATACACAATCTCAAACAACAGAAATGATACCAAATCAATGCAAGAGTATCCTTTTGTCAACAATTGTGTTTTCTTTCATTTTTACCAGTGAGCCTAATGCAGACTAAATTTTATTCCATTGAAATTAATACAAACCAAAAATAAAATTATATTCAATATCCTGCTATTCCATAAAAAAATTGTGAGTCCTTCTAGAGGCAGATAAAACCATGGAGATTACAAAGCAAAATAAGAAAGATCTATCATTTCAAAGAGTATGTACCATAGTGGAAGAGGACAGAAGACAAAGTGCTGATTGCAGTAAAAATAAGATAATATTTGCTAGAATAGACACAAATCTACAGGTTTCTGTGGAATCCTGTTTAGGGGAAGTTAACTCAGACTTAATTGTCAGGGAAACCTTCCTTGAGGAATTGGAGGACAGGACAACAGGAGCTTCCTGGGGGCAATTAGAGATGGTCTTCTAGGTAGAGACAAGAACTCACACTAAAGATACAGACAAAATGGGGTCTGGGGACAACTACATGGAATTACAACCCTGAGGATAAATACCCAGGCAAATGAAGGACTGGGGAAAAATCAGTGTTAGCAAACTGGAATAAAAGGAGGCTGAAGAATCTGAAATAAGTCGGTGACATAATATCTTAGAAACTTCCCTGCTCCACGCATACTGAGAATTCCAACAATTTCTACAAGGTATGTGAGGGGCCTGAGCTATTTTGTTTTCTGAGAGGTGGCTTTAGAATTCTGCACTCTCTCTAGGATAATCGCATTCCTTTTCATTGCTTCCACTACAGCTAACCTATCAGACATCGCCTCTGGGATGAAGTCATTGTCTCAGGGAAATCTCAACCTGATTTTCCCACAGGCACTTTAGACTAATTGGTACAAAAGTAGATTCGTCATTTGAGGCTTACAACAAGCCTCCAATATACATAATAAAATTTATTTTTTTTAAAGTGAATTTATCATCTTTTCTCATTGACTTGCTTCCTTTCCTATATTTTCTATCTCAGGATAGGTTTCCTCAGCTACATAATCAGCCCAGAACAGAAACCTGGCTGATATCCTTGACTACACCCACTACCTCACCTTAAAACACTGACCCTGAGAAGGCAGAGAAAGGCTTTGTGAATATTTTCATTAATGCATAAGATCCAGGAAGATGGAGATTATTCACCAGTGAATCCCCAACACAGAATAATGCCTGGCACATAGTGGATACTCTCTAGCTGGATGAATAGATAGATAGATAGATAGATGGATAGATAGATAGATAGATACATTTGTTGGATTAATAAATGAATGAATTTCTCATTTATTTTTGTCAGCTCTTATCTCATTGAAAAAAAGCATACTAATGAATTAAGATCTTTTTCAGAATATGAACTGATTCAAAAGGAGCGTCCATAGATAGTGAATCCAAAGAAACATATTAGGATTTTTAAATTTGTTATAATACTAAATGCTTTTAAAACTTTGTTTAAAACAGACATTGCATTAAAAGTCACTCAAAGTAGACCCAAAACAATGGTTTGGGTAAAAGGTGTTTGACTTTGTTATTTGTAGTGAGGCAGTATAGCGTAGGTTTTAAAAGTGTGGGTTTGAATTTTGGCCCTTGTATTCAATGACTGTGTAACTAAAGTCAGGCCATTCAGCCTCTCTGTGCCTCAATTCCCTTATCTGTGAAATGGAGATACTAATATTACTTACTGCAAAGAGTTACTTAAAACATTGAGATAGTAAATGTGAAGCAATTATAAGAGTATTTACCAAAGGGAATGTGCTTAATAACTATTAACTACTATTAGAAGGACAATAATTTTATAAAGGCATTTTGTAAAGTTGTGTTTTTGATTTTTTTTTAATGAACAAATGAGCTTCCAAAATGATCTTACATGGCTGAAACATCAGACCCGATCTCTCCATTGTGGTCTAATAAGCAAAGCAAGCGAGATTTACAATAAAGTAGATGTTGGAGCTATGCTGACTGGGTTCAAATCCTCATACCATCACTGCCTAGTTGTATAAGCTTGAACAAATTACTTGTTATTGCTGTGCTTCAATTTCCTCAGCTGTAAAATATGGGTAAGTACGCATCTACTGGGTTGTTGTAAGGATTAAATGAGCTAATATTTGTAATGAACTTACAGCTGACCCTAGCCAAACAAACAAACAAACAAAAAAAGCTACATGCTCCAGAATGCTTGCTTACTTGTTGAATGAGTGCATGAATGTCCTTTAATGTTGTATACATGATGTGTTTCCTCCCTTTAATAATAAAGATTAATGGATATAGTGTCAAAGCCTGAGGAATGGTTAACAGACAACATCAGTGACAGTGAAGAACAAGATTTCATGGAAGTATGAAAATAATTTTTGTTTTCTTATTCTAGAAGGGTAGACAAGTTACACTGTCTTAAATACCAGCAGGCTGAATATTCATTAATCTGTTTTTCTAAGTAATATAAAAATAAAACATGGTGAGTATTTTAGAAAACCAAAATGATAATTATTTTTAAACTAAATATTTAAAAAATTATTAATATTAGCATATGAACTAGGATCAAATGCTTCATAACATGAGCTTCTATTTATGCATCACAGTCAATTTCTAAACTTTCATTTCCAGAATGGAGTATATAGGACTAGAAATAACTTCAAAATTATTGTTTTATGTTTGATTAGCACAGAGTAGAATGAAATATCAATGCTGGGGGGAAACTTAAAATAATAGTAAAGGATAACAGTTATTAAGTGTTAAATGTGCAATATCTTAATCATTCTTCCTTAAACCTTAAGAAGGTAGAGTCTCTATTTTGCAGGTAAAGAAAAAGCCCAAGCAAGCATAAATGGCTTGTCCAAGGCACCATGGCAATGAATTGAGGGAGCTAGGAATCCAACTCCAGACCTACAATTCTTAATCCCACATCTCTACTGGCCCTTTTGAGTTAGCACTTGTAGTGATATTACTGGCTTCATAAGAAAGCACTATTGCATGTCATGGAGAAAATGGAGCATATCTCAAAAACCTTAAGTTGACAAAGTCTTAGCACTAAGAGGATTGGTTTTTAATTATCAGAAAGCTAGTTTTGTCATATCATGCCCTGTAACTAGATACTGTTCAGTTTCTGTCTTCGAAGGAGCAGTGTAGTTACTGATAAAGCAATGTAATATTTTACAATTGACTTTACAAAGTACTTTATTTTTATCTTTATGGATTATGCTGAAAATTCTCTAAATTCATGCTTCACATATTTTTTTCAGTTCTCACCCTCCTTAAATTTTACATTATGATTTTCTTATGTAAGATCATTCACCTGGGGTTTCTGTTCTATAGCCTTTAGCTAAATTAGCCTTAAGTCCTTAAATTTCACTAGAAAACTATCTCCCAAATTAATAGCCCCAAAGCACTTAAGCCAAAAATTGATTTTATTTTACTTGCTGTTGAGTTACATAGACCACACTGCAAAATTAAACAGGGTTTTTAAATTGTGATCTATATTACTAGAATTCCCTAACTAATATAAACCAGATTACTTCTTGTTTTACTTTACCCATTTTTCCCTAACCACTTGCAAGGGAATATTGATGGACTTTGATTTGATAAATCTATTAACATAGAAAAAAGTGAATATATATTCATTTGTCTCTATTTTCTTCTGTAAATTTATTTCGTAGTTTAAACTATAGACCTGAGATGTGTTATTATATGGTTTTGTTGATTTGTTTTTGTTAGTTTTAAAATGAAAAGCCTTTGAGATCTTTTAGAATTAAGTGAAAATTTAAGCAGAACAGAAGGAACACCAGATGGGAGTCTCTCAAGAAGTGTCCTCAGGGATATCACATGAAAGTGAGGTGATCTTAGGTGAGCGGAACACAATAGAATTTGTGACTGAGATAATATCTTAATACAAAGAATGTCTGTGCAATTTATATGCTGAGGAAATGGTATGTGACATATATATGTACATATGCCTACATATATATGCATAGAATCATCGTGAACTGGAATAAACTTAAAAAAATAACGTAGTCCAACTTCATCATTTATGGAAGAGTAGCTTAGGGGAAAGAGATTTCAAGTAATGGTTAACAATGTCACAAAACTCATTATTTTTTGGCAGAGGCATGACTAAAAATCAGGTGTCCTTGTTTCAAGCCTGGTATTTTTTCTATCAACTCAAATTGTGTCTGGGAAAAGAATATAAATTTATTAAAATATAGATTTTCCCCCATGTAGCAATATTTGCTGATTTGCAACTTCAATTTTTTTTTTATTCCAGGCAGAGTTACAGAGCATTACATTATAGACATCATTCTCTCTGAGGGTAAAGATTTTGGCTTGAGTACCAAAAGGCTATGAAGCATGCTTAATAACTATATGCTTGAAACAACAACTTGTACAAACAAATGTAAATGTGTTAATTTGTGTTTGGGATTTCAATAATCACCTCATGTATAATAGCTGTAGGAAACTACTTGGCCCTCTATCTGGTTTCTTTTCATTTATAGCTTCATCACTTTTCAAACTCAGTACTGATGTTGCTCAAAGCTGAGTGATGTACGGACATTTTTCACAGAAAAATAAGTTTCAGAAATCTTCAGTATTCCCTTACTACTAATTTTAGTAAAATATTACTATTTTATACACTTTATGTGAAATATAAACTTAGATACAATTTCCTCATATTTATTGCCTCACAAAATTATAAAACCAAAACAATTTGACAAGCTAAATAGAAACAAGTCCACAAAGTCATAAAATTGAAGTTAGACTATTTAACTTAATGTAATTATTGGTATGAATCTGGTAAAATTAAATTGCTATACACCAAATAATTTTAGCACTGATTGTTATAATACAGGCACTTTAAAAAATAAAGATTATGGCCGAGCAGGGTGGCTCACGCCTATAATACCAGCACTTTGGGAGTCCAAGGCAGGTGGATCGTGAAGTCAGGAGTTCGAGACCAGCCTTGCAAATATGGCGAAACCCGTCTCTACTAAAAATACAAAAAGCAGCCAGGAGTGGTGGTGGGTACCTGTAATCCCAGCCACTCAGGAGGCTGAGGCAGGAGAATTGCTTGAACCCGGGAGGCGGAGGTTGCAGTGAGCCGAGAAATCGTGCCACTGCACTCCAGCCTGGGTGACAGAGCAAGACTCCATCTCAGAAAAAAAAAAAAAAAAAGATTACAACACAGATATTACATGTATAATACCCACAGGTGTATATGCATACAAATATATAATGGATATGAGGATATAAGTATTTTAAAGACTAGTGATAAAATGAACACGCATGTTCTTTTTACTAACTTTCTTTATACTAACGTTCTTTATACTAACGGTTCTTTATACTAACTCTACCTAGTTAGTATAAGGCATTATGAGCAATGGTGATACCTGCTTTGAGCCTTAAAAACTACTCTTTGATCTCTTCTCCGTTCTTACGTGGTTATCCCTGTACTGATTTCTAAGTTTTCTAGTCCTTTATTTCTTTATCATCTACCAAACATATATATGCACACACACACATACACACAAAAATATATCAGAGATTACATATTGTTTAAGTTCTCCTATTTGGGAAATTTATATAATGGGGATATTTGTTTATGACTTTCTTTTTTTCTCTTCCATGTTATTTTTTTGAGATGTATTCATGTTGATGTGTACAGGTGAGAATCACTGATTTTCACTACTGCATATGTTTTTTGGTATATACAGTATACATACTACTGTAAGTGGACGTTATTGTTGTTTTTACTTTTTATATTATAAAGACTTTTGTTATGAACATTCCAGTACCATGTCTCCTTATATATACATCAAAGAATTTCACCTAAACAGGAAAATTTTGGTGTATTGGATATGTACATCTTCAACTTTTTAAGTGATGCCAGATGGTTTTTTAATGCAGATTTAGAAAAACTATATATGTATTAAACTTTTCCCTGCAGTTGCAATTTACATACTTATCAGTTAAGTAAGCAAATTCATCTAAAATATCCCCTTTTTGTCAGGGCAAAACATTAGTTCTTAAAAGAATACAGATGGTGTTCCTTTACTCATCATCATGGGCTTTAATAGAGGTGGTCATTTCTTTTATAAGTGTATTAATAATATCCATATCAAAGAATCCAGTGGATGTCTTTCAGCCCTTATTCTATTTTGTTTTTTCATTTTTGGTTTCAGTTTTAGCCCTTATTCTTGCTAGACTTCACTGCAGCAATATTGAACAGCCCCTCCTTCTCAAAACTTTGTTCTTCTGGCTTTAATGATAATACATTTTCTTGGCTGTGCCCTTGCCCCTCTGCCTGTTTTTCTGCCTGATATTGAATTACTTTCTTATTAAATGTCAGATTTCCTCAGGACTTTGTTCTGGACCTTCCTATCTCATTCTCTTCACTCTCTCCTGAGGTTATGTCATCTGGCCTCACGTATTTAAATACTATAGCCTGAGAACTTCCTGAATCATGAATGTAAGTGTTAACTTGGTAACCTTCCCTACAAGCCTCAGAAACACCTCAAACTTAAAAGTGTCCAAACTAATTATCTTGTTATTCTCCCCTAAATATTTTCTTCTCAATCTTCCCCATCTTAATGATGACCCTCACCTCCATTTAGTTGCTTAATCCAGAAGTCTGAGGCTGATGTTTGACTCTCCCTCTCACATCTTCATAGGTTTACATGTGCAAGTGTACAGTTTATTTCTGCATTTTCTAATTAGATTAAATAATTAGGATGATATAAATACAGTGGTACATCTAAACCAGAGAGTGCTTGAATAGAAGAAACTATGATTAAATGAATGGAGACCGTTTCAAACTAGAAGCACACACAAATGGAGAGATCAAACAGAGGTCCGAAGGATGTTGAAAACACACAGATTAAGAGAGAATCTTGAGTGGAGACAGATCCAGGGACAGGCCCTTCCGGACTATTGGCACTCAAGAGTTTTATAAGGGCAGGAATACATAGATGCAGAGCTGAAAAAAAGATGCATCAGAGTAAAAAATGGGAAGAGTGGTGGGTGGGAAAAAGTGGAGTGGTGGGAAAAGAGGTTTCCTTCTGTTGGGTAGGAGCCAGTTTCTGCTGCTCCAGGGAGTGGAGTCCAATCCATGGTGTATTGTTGTCTCACTAAGAAAGGCAAGGCCTGCCTGGGCACGGTGGCTCATGCTTGTAATCCTAGCTATTTGGGAGGCTAAGGTGGATGGATCACTTGAGCTCAGGAGTTTGAGACAAGCCTGGGAAACATAGAGAAACCCCATATCTACAAAAAATAAAAATTAAATTAAATTTAAATAGCAGGGTATGGTGGTACATGCCTGTAGTCCCAGCTACTAGGGGGGCTGAGGTGGGAAGATTGTTTGAGCTCAGGAGGTCGAGGCTGCAGTGAGCCAAGATTGCACCAGTGCACTTCAGCCTGGGTGACAAAAGTGAGAACCTGTCTCAAAACAAACAAACAAACAAAAAATAAGGTGGGTCCTCATGTAGGAATAAATTGTAAATTGAGAGTGATTCTTATACGTGCAAGGAATGGGAAATAATTCTTATTGGATGAGTCTGCATCTGATAATGTCTTGACTTGTGATTCAGTGCCCTCAGCAGAATAGACACCAGATGCCCAAGTCCAAATGGTAGTCCAGCGGAATAAGCAGATGGGTGAATGAATGAATCATTTACCACATAACTTCTAGAAGGAGCAATGGGTCATAAAACATGGTAGTGAAACCTTGATGTCTCTATTACTTTGCTTATGTTTATCAGAGGTTTGGGTTTATTTTCACCAGTAAGTGGACCCCTATAAATGGCTATTTAAGAGACTTACATTTGTTGTGCAGTGATTCTCTTTTTACACATTGTTGGACAGAAAATGAGGACAGGGTAATGATTAACTTTTATCCCTGTAATTTACAAAACCCAAAAGTGTTGAATGTTGTTACCTTTCTTGATTTCTTCAATGGTGTGTTTTAATTTTTTCTAATTATTTTGTGTCCATTAGACAAGTGTCTTTGAAGAGCTGAAAAAGGTTGACACGCATCCTTTTACAGAATATCATAAACACATTTAGTGAGGTGCCACTAGATACATATAATGTCTCTAACTTGATAAGCTGGGACAAGTAATATAAGCAACCCAAATTTTCTACAGATAACTGAAGTGGTTTCTTTCTTCATTTGTTTTTCAGGAATCTCTCACAAGTCCTTAAAGAGAATCCTGTTTTTATGTTTTAGACATTTCATAGTAATTTATTTTGGCTAAAGGATTTTGATGGCTAATGATTGACAGGGCTTTTTATAAAAGTGAATGGAGCAAACTAATTATTGACTTTGTAAGTCAATGTCTTGAACATACCTGAAGTGCATAACACTCATTTGCTTTACCAGTGTCCCTATTTCCAAATGGATTCACTAGAAATTAAAAAAAATTAAATTGTTAAACTTCTTTACTGTGTTGAAATTATAAACTAATTTGAAAATTAAGATAATGTTTACATTTTTGGAGTCGGTCACTAATTCTTCAAAAATTCCAGTCAAATATAATAGTACATGCAATCACACATGTGTTTTCAATCCTAGTGACTTACTTACATCTGAAAAAAAGGTAGCATCTTTCTAGAACTTATAATATCAACTTCTGCATATATAAAAAACAAATCTAATTGATTAACAATATTTATTTATTTCCATAATTATTTTATTTCCTCTCATACTTAGCAAAGAGAATAGCTGGTAACATCTGCATTTACTAGGAATTAAGATTTGGTGTCCTTAACTAACTTGGACCCGAAAGCAAGAGTCCATGCACTGAAAAGTGTAAGCAATTAAAGCACTACCAAGGAAAGTGTTTTTCTACCACCAGAGAGAAGGCATTTACTCTCAGACCTTGAAAGTTATCATCATTTATGGTCATCAGGGGAAGCAGAGTTTTTCACACCCCAGGCACAAAATTGAAAGTGTCTGTTTCATTCTCTTCTCACATCCTGAGCTCTGGGTGATTTTGTTAAAGGAAGCATTAAACAACCTGTCAGCACATACACATTGGATTAGGGACTCTTATCATGTGGAGGGGCTCTGGCCAGTTCAGAAAGACATTATTGGAAACTTAGGGGTGAGAGCATAAATGTAACTTAACACTTTTTGGCTCGAGGAATCAACTATAGTTCTTTTCCTTAGTGTTTTATATTACAAACCTGTTGTTTTTAATTTTCTGAGCACTAACAGCCTACTGTGCTTAAACAGCTTTTAATCAGAACACAATGATTAGATAGAGCCTGCATGATACTTAGATATTCAGAGGAGCTGCATTGCCCAGAAACATATTCAGAAGGCTGAATTTCCTATCTTTCTTTTTCTGATTCATCATACGAGTTCTCTTTAAGAATTATCATCTAGATACATTTTACAGTTTGTATCAGTCATCTGGTATATAGCAATATAAGTGTATGTCTCAGATACATATTCTAGCACACACACATACACACATAGTTACTGTGACACTGTAACAGTATAAAAAAGAATAAAAAATCAATGAGGGGCTGACATAAAATCTTTCAACTACAGCATATTTAACAAGGAGGGAAAACCTGCTTAGCTGGCTGCCTTTTTAATTTCAAGGTAACTTTATTGGTCCAAATACTGAATGTTCCTCCAAATTTGATTATAACAAATGTCCAGTTCCCTTACATCACAGGATGAATGTCGAGTTTTTTAGTGAGATAATCCTTTAGTAAAGGCCAATGTTTCAGACAAGGTTTTAGGAGAAAAAGTCTTTCGAAATTTAGTCAATTATTATCATCATCTTTCTGCAATTTCAAAACTCTGTCCTCCCCTACATAACAACCTCTCTGACTTATTAACAAGCTTCTAGAAAAATAACCTAAAACCACTCTGTTGCTTCTTCCAGTTCATTTATTCTTCCTCAGAATATTACAATTTGATTTTTGTTAACATTTTTTCTCCAGAAACTGGTGGGTGAACTTTTGTAACATTGGTGTTCAACAGATGCTTCTTTTTCCATCTTTGGTTCTTGTGACATTTTTTTCCTTTGTCTACGGCCAGCCTCTCTATTCCTTAACTAATTTGGCATGTACCTCTTTCTTAGCCTAGTTCTTGATTGCTGATTCCCAATTCTCAGCCTTCTTTTATTTTAATCCTCAAAATCAATTCAATCAGTTATTATGGCTTCCACCATCTCCTGTGCAGACTCCCACAGCCATATGTTAATGATCTTTTGTGAACCGAAGGCCCGTATTTCAAATGACTTGTGCCTCACAACATTCCACTAATAGGAATGATATTCAGCAGGAACACACACAAAGGACTGATGGATTAGTGGTGATGGCAAGCCAGTTGTTAAATATTTGAAAATCATTTCTGCCCAAAAGCAACTGTATTAGTCTGTTCTCACATTGCTAATAAAGACATACTTGAGACAGGGTAATTGATAAAGGAAAGAGGTTTAATTGACTCACAGTTCCACACAGCTGGTGAGGCCTCACAATCACAGTGGAAGGCAAATGTGGAGCAAAGTCACGTCTTATATGGCATCAGGCAAGAGAGCTTGTGCAGGGGAGCCCCCATTTACAAAACCATCACATCTCCTGAGACTTATTCACTACCAGGAGAACAGTATGGGGAACAGAACTACCCTCATGATTCAATTATCTCCACCTGGCCCCACCCTTGACACATGGAGATTATTACAACTCAAGGTGAGATTTAGGTAGGGACACAGCCAAACCATATCAGCAACTCAAATGCAATGATAAACCTGCCGTTTTCCCTATAAATAATCCTAGATTCATTCCCCATTTTGAGAATGGGACTATAAATTCTATGGTTACATAAGCCAACCTGGTCATTAAAATTCCAAATTTTCTATATATTTTTTGCCAATAATTATTTTTAAGTTCAATAGCATTCATAATTATTCTCCCACCCTTATTGCCAAAATACCTTTTTTGTTTAATTATTCTGAACAAACCTGACTTTGCCATTTCTTACGATGTAGTCCTAACCCCTCCAGTTGTACACTTTGGTTGCTATCAGAGTGAACATAGCATGATGACAATTCCTACTCAAACTTTTTAAATGGCTCCCCCATTTAAGAAGTATGTAATGTATAGTATATGTATATGGCAGCAATATGTAAATATATACCATTTTGCATTTTACATAGGATTAATTATTCTCTGGCTCCCACTCACCTATCCAAAATCAAGTGTTCTTTCTGCTCACTTCATATCAAACCCCATGTCTCCATAATAATAAATTATGTCTACTCCACCTCCCCATCCCTCAGACCTTTCCATTACCTAAGTCTGTGTATATGTAATATTGTCTCTGTCTACAATGACAGCCTACATATTATTTACAAGGAAGACACTTGATCTTTCTTCAAATTTCTAATTACAACTCCTCTACTTCTTCAGAGAGGTCAGAAGACATCTTTTTCTATTTTTCTATATTGCTTCTGCATGTTTATATTTATAATAAAGTAAATGCTCAGCTATATTTATATTCAGGGGTAGCTAATTGAGTTGAGATATTACACTCAATTAATGTATACTCAATTAAATTTAGTTTTATATTAAAATTTATATTTTATTTGGGAAAAAGTATAGTTATGAAATAAGAGGACAAATGTAATTTATGAAAGGTTTTATTTATGTTTCATCCATTCTTTAACTGAGGCCTTTATTTAAAAGCTGTTCATTGAACTCCAACAATGTGACAGGAACTGTCCTTGCCTTGGTGTATAAAAAAATAAACAAAACATATTTTTTACTATCATGGAACTTTTAGAATGGTTTCATTTACGAAAAAGTCAATGAAGCACATTAATGTTATAGAAAAAGTCACAAATATCTGTTTAATGATCAATAAACATACTGCTAATGGAGTAAATCTGAATCTAAATCTCTGCGTGCTTACAGATACAGAATTATCTTATTTCCTTAAAGGCATATGTATCACATCAAATATGCTCGTCAATTTTGTTTTTATGTCTATTTTTGTTTTATTTTATCTTGTATACTACGGAGTCATGATATTTACAGTAACTAGATGTATGTATACCAATTTGCATTATTTGTGGGACTGTGAAACAATAGCATTTTATATTTCCAATAATATAAAAATAGTATGTTCAAACAGGTAAAATGCAATGGTAAATATAATAAGGGAAAAGATTAATAAATGTAATAAGCTACTGGTATACTTAACAACCTTCAATTTTTAAAGCAATTTGCTGCAACAACATAAAATGGAACCAAATAATAGCATTTAAGTCAGCTTTCAAGCTATTTTCCTTAAATATAGCTTAATAATGAAGACAATAAGCTAATTATCTAAATGGAAATTTAAAGAGTGGGCTGGCATGTGGGAAAAACTCTGTAATAAATGTTCTCACATTTTGGTAATCTCATACAAAACACAGACTGGGGATGGTCTTCCAATTCCTTTTCTCAAACTATATTTTTGGTGTGTTATTAAGTGAATCTTTTGAAATATCCAGTGAAAATCACTATCTTAGTGGACAAATCACACATGCTAAATAGTATTGAGAAATGTAATACACATACTATAGCCATAAGATGGAAAAACAGACTGACATTGGAGCAATTTTTTAAAAAGAACAGTAAACTTCTATTATACTTTGGTATGATAGATAAAAATATATATGTTAGTAGAGTCACTCAAAAACTTTTTTGAAACCATGCAGATGGCCCCACTAGCCAGAAAATATTTCTAAAGTTTTTCTTTTTCATTTATCAATATGATGATTTTCAATAATTATTTTCAATAATTAATATTTTAAAACATCTATAGAAATACCTGGATTTTCCCATGAAGGTCTGGAAATCCACCAATGAAGACAGATCCTGATTTTGGCAGGGGTTTTCCGAGTACATGATTGATAGATTCGCATATTTGTGTATTCCTCCCTAAAATAGTCAGCTCAGCGTTACATGGATCCAATTCTTGCCTGTAACCATTTAAGAAAGAAATGGTTTTAGTATAAGTCATATAAACATTTATCTGACAAATTAATTAAACTATTATCAAAAGAATAATTTAAGTAAATAGATTATTTCACAATAAAACAAAGCCAGAAGCAGATTAATCTGTTATAAATTAGAATCCTTAATGCTTTAAGTACATAAACACAAAGTTACAGTTTGACAAAACAACAAATTATAGCAATCAACCAATGAAATAAATAAATCCTGATAAACAGATCTTTCTCAATTGTAACTGAAACAATGATGGATTATAATATTCCATTTTAGCTTTTTACATTATTAAATTTTCTGTATGAGTGAAAAATATTAAAAAGAATCAAATTTCAATGCAGTCATACAGTGTACAATATATACTTAGGTGGAAAACAGATATATTGCAGACAGTAATTAGTTGTAGAAATATAAATTATACCAATAAGCAAAGCACAGAAAAATTAACAAATGAATAAATCAAATATAACTTAATTAGGGAGATCAGAGTAATAATTTCCATATGCCCATTCTTTTAGAAAGATGAAAAAGACAAAATACTTTGTCAATACTTTAACATGTAGATATGCATGTGTCATTTACTCTAGCCATATGTTTAACTAATTGTTTAATCCAGAGATTGGCAAACTATACCCTAGGCCAAATCTTGCCTGTCATCTCTAAGTAAATAAACTTTAATTGGCACACAGCCATATGTTTCTTTACATATAGTCTATGGGTTTTTTCATAACAGAATTGAATAATTGAAACAAGACTTTAAGTCCCAAAAGCCCAAAAATATTTACTATCTAACCCTTATAGAAAAAGTTGGTAGATGCACTATTCAATTTATCTATTAACCAAGCAAGTAAGCTTTATCATAATCCTTTTCAAAATAATAGTACACATTCTTGGGAGGAGCCAAGATGGCTGAATAGGAACAGCTCCGGTCTACAGCTCCCAGCGTGAGCGACGCAGAAGATGGGTGATTTCTGCCATTTCCATCTGAGGTACCGGGTTCATCTCACTAGGGAGTGCCAGACAGTGGGCGCAGGTCAGTGGGTGTGCACACCGTGCGCCAGCCGAAGCAGGGCAAGGCATTGCCTCACTTGGGAAGTGCAAGGGGTCAGGGAGTTCCCTTTCCGAGTCAAAGAAAGGGGTGATGGATGGCACCTGGAAAATCGGGTCACTCCCACCCGAATACTGCGCTTTTCCAACGGGCTTAAAAAACGGCACATCACGAGATTATATCCCGCACCTGGCTCCGAGGGTCCTACGCCCACGGAGTCTCGCTGATTGCTAGCACAGCAGTCTGAGATCAAACTGCAAGGAGGCAGCGAGGCTGGGGGAGGGGTGCCCGCCATTGCCCAGGCTTGATTAGGTAAACAAAGCAGCCAGGAAGCTCCAACTGGGTGGAGCCCACCACAGCTCAAGGAGGCCGGTCTGCCTCTGTAGGCTCCACCTCTGGGGGCAGGGCACGGACAAACAAAAAGACAGCAGTAACCTCTGCAGACTTAAATGTCCCTGTCTGACAGCTTTGAAGAGAGCAGTGGTTCTCCCAGCACGCAGCTGGAGATCTCAGAACGGGCAGACTGCCTCCTCAAGTGGGTCCCTCACCCCTGACCCCGGAGCAGCCTAACTGGGAGGCACCCCCCAGCAGGGGCACACTGACACCTCACAGGGCAGGGTATTCCAACAGACCTGCAGCTGAGGGTCCTGACTGTTAGAAGGAAAACTAACAAACAGAAAGGACATCCATACCAAAAACCCATCTGTACATCACCATCATCAAAGACCAAAAGTAGATAAAACCACAAAGATGGGGAAAAAACAGAACACAAAAACTGGAAACTCTAAAAAGCAGAGCGCCTCTCCTCCTCCAAAGGAACGCAGTTCCTCACCAGCAACGGAACAAAGCTGGATGGAGAATGACTTTGACGAGCTGAGAGAAGAAGGCTTCAGACGATCAAATTACTCTGAGCTACGGGAGGACATTCAAACCAAAGGCAAAGAAGTTGAAAACTTTGAAAAAAATTTAGAAGAATGTATAACTAGAATAACCAATACAGAGAAGTGCTTAAAGGAGCTGATGGAGCTGAAAACCAAGGCTCGAGAACTACGTGAAGAATGCAGAAGCCTCAGGAGCCGATGCGAATCAACTGAAAGAAAGGGTATCAGTGATGGAAGATGAAATGAATGAAATGAAGCGAGAAGGGAAGTTTAGAGAAAAAAGAATAAAAAGAAAGGAGCAAAGCCTCCAAGAAATATGGGACTATGTGAAAAGACCAAATCTACGACTGATTGGTGTACCTGAAAGTGATGGGGAGAATGGAACCAAGTTGGAAAACACTCTGCAGGATATTATCCAGGAGAACTTCCCCAATCTAGCAAAGCAGGCCAACATTCAGATTCAGGAAATACAGAGAACGCCACAAAGATACTCCTCGAGAAGAGCAACTCCAAGACACATAATTGTCAGATTCACCAAAGTTGAAATAAAGGAAAAAATGTTAAGGGCAGCCAGAGAGAAAGGTCGGATTACCCTCCAAGGGAAGCCCATCAGACTAACAGCAGATCTCTCGGCAGAAACCCTACAAGCCAGAAGAGAGTGGGGGCCAATATTCAACATTCTTAAAGAAAAGAATTTTCAACCCAGAATTTCATATCCAGCCAAACTAAGCTTCATAAGCGAAGGAGAAATAAAATACTTTACAGTCAAGCAAATGCTGAGAGATTTTGTCACCACCAGGCCTGCCCTAAAAGAGCTCCTGAAGGAAGCGCTAAACATGGAAAGGAACAACCCGTACCAGCCGCTGCAAAATCATGCCAAAATGTAAAGACCATCAAGACTAGGAAGAAACTGCATCAACTAACGAGCAAAATAACCAGCTAACATCATAATGACAGGATCAAATTCACACATAATAATATTAACTTTAAATGTAAATGGGCTAAATGCTCCAATTAAAAGACAAAGACTGGCAAATTGGGTAAACAGTCAAGTCCCTTCAGTGTGCTGTATTCAGAAAACCCATCTCATGTGCAGAGACACACATAGGCTCAAAATAAAAGGATGGAGGAAGATCTACCAAGCAAATGGAAAACAAAAAAAGGCAGGGGTTGCAATCCTAGTCTCTGATAAAACAGACTTTAAACCAACAAACATCAAAAGAGACAAAGAAGGCCATTACATAATGGTAAAGGGATCAATTCAACAAGAAGAGCTAACTATCCTAAATATATATGCACCCAATACAGGAGCACCAAGATCCATAAAGCAAGTCCTGAGTGACCTACAAAGAGACTTAGACTCCCACACATTAATAATGGGAGACTTTAACACCCCACTGTCAACATTAGACAGATCAACGAGACAGAAAGTCAACACGGATACCCAGGAATTGAACTCAGCTCTGCACCAAGCAGACCTAATAGACATCTACAGAACTCTCCACCCCAAATCAACAGAATATACATTTTTTTCCAGCATCACACCACACCTATTCCAAAATTGACCACATACTTGGAAGTAAAGCTCTCCTCAGCAAATGTAAAAGAACAGAAATTATAACAAACTATCTCTCAGACCACACTGCAATCAAACTAGAACTCAGGACTAAGAAACTCACTCAAAACCGCTCAACTACATGGAAACTGAACAACCTGCTCCTGAATGACTACTGGGTACATAAAGAAATGAAGGCAGAAATAAAGATGTTCTTTGAAACCAATGAGAACAAAGACACAACATACCAGAATCTCTGGGACGCATTCAAAGCAGTGTGTAGAGGGAAATTTATAGCACTAAATGCCCACAAGAGAAAGCAGGAAAGATGCAAAATTGACACCCTAACATCACAATTAAAATAACTAGAAAAGCAAGAGCAAACACTTTCAAAAGCTAGCAGAAGGCAAGAAATAACTAAAATCAGAGCAGAACTGAAGGAAATAGAGACACAAAAAACCCTTCAAAAAATTAATGAATCCAGGAGCTGGATTTTTGAAAGGATCAACAAAATTGATAGACCGCTAGCAAGACTAATAAAGAAAAAAAGAGAGAAGAATCAAATAGACGCAATAAAAAATGATAAAGGGGATATCACCACCAATCCCACAGAAATACAAACCACCATCAGAGAATACTACAAACACCTCTACGCAAATACTAAAGTAGAAAATCTAGAAGAAATGGATAAATTCCTCGACACATACACTCTCCCAAGACTAAACCAGGAAGAAGTTGAATCTCTGAATAGACCAATAGCAGGATCTGAAATTGTGGCAATAATCAATAGCTTACCAACCAAAAAGAGTCCAGGACCAGAGGGATTCACAGCCGAATTCTACCATAGGTACAAGGAGGAACTGGTACCATTCCTTCTGAAACCATTCCAATCAATAGAAAAAGAGGGAATCCTCCCTAACTCATTTTATAAGGCCAGCATCATTCTGATACCAAAACCAGGCAGAGATACAACAAAAAAAGAGAATTTTAGACCAATATCCTTGATGAACATTGATGCAAAAAACCTCAATAAAATACTGGCAAAACGAATCCAGCAACACATCAAAAAGCTTATCCACCATGATCAAGTGGGCTTGATCCCTGGGATGCAAGGCTGGTTCAACACATGCAAATCAATAAATGTAATCCAGCATATAAACAGAGTCAAAGACAAAAACCACATGATTATCTCAATAGATGCAGAAAAGGCCTTTGACAAAATTCAACAACCCTTCATGCTAAAAACTCTCAATAAATTAGGTATTGATGGGTCGTATTTCAAAATAATAAGAGCTATCTATGACAAACCCACAGCCAATATCATACTGAATGGGCAAAAACTGGAAGCATTCCCTTTGAAAACTGGCACAAGACAGGGATGCCCTCTCTCACCACTCCTATTCAACATAGTGTTGGAAGTTCTGGCCAGGGCAATTAGGCAGGAGAAGGAAATAAATGGTATTCATTTAGGAAAAGAGGAAGTCAAATTGTCCCTGTTTGCAGACGACATGATTGTATATCTAGAAAACCCCATTGTCTCAGCCCAAAATCTCCTTAAGCTGATAAGCAACTTCAGCAAAGTCTCAGGATACAAAATCAATGTACAAAAATCACAAGCATTCTTATACACCAATAACAGCAAACAGAGAGCCAAATCATGAGTGAACTCCCATTCACAATTGCTTCAAAGAGAATAAAATACCTAGGAATCAAACTTACAAGGGATGTGAAGGACCTCTTCAAGGAGAACTACAAACCACTGCTCAATTAAATAAAAGAGGACAGAAACAAATGGAAGAACATTCCATGCTCATGGGTAGGAAGAATCAATATTGTGAAAATGGCCATACTGCCCAAGGTAATTTACAGATTCATTGCCATCCCCATCAAGCTACCAATGCCTTTCTTCACAGAATTGGAAAAAACTACTTTAAAATTCATATGGAACCAAAAAAGAGCCTGCATCGCCAAGTCAATCCTAAGCCAAAAGAACAAAGCTGGAGGCATCACGCTACCTGACTTCAAACTATACTACAAGGCTACAGTAACCAAAACAGCATGGCACTGGTACCAAACAGAGATATAGATCAATGGAACAGAATAGAGCCCTCCGAAATAACGCCGCATATCTACAACTATCTGATCTTTGACAAACCTGACAAAAACAAGAAATGGGGAAATGATTCCCTATTTAATAAATGGTGCTGGGAAAACTGGCTAGCCATATGTAGAAAGCTGAAACTGGATCCCTTCCTTACACCTTATACAAAAATCAATTCAAGATGGATTAAAGACTTAAACATTAGACCTAAAACCATAAAAACCCTAGAAGAAAACCTGGGCATTACCATTCAGGACATAGGCATGGGCAAGGACTTCATGTCTAAAACACCAAAAGCAATGGCAACAAAAGACAAAATTGACAAATGGGATCTAATTAAACTAAAGAGCTTCTGCACAGCAAAAGAAACTACCATCAGAGTGAACAGGCAACTGACAAAATGGGAGAAAATTTTTGCAACCTACTCATCTGACAAAGGGCTTATATCCAGAATCTACAATGAACTCAAACAAATTTACAAGAAAAAAACAAACAACCCCATCAAAAAGTGGGCGAAGGATATGAACAGACACTTCTCGAAAGAAGACATTTATGCAGCCAACAGACACATGAAAAAATGCTCATCATCACTGGCCATCAGAGAGATGCAAATCAAAACCATGATGCGATACCATCTCACACCAGTTAGAATGGCGATCATTAAAAAGTCAGGAAACAACAGGTGCTGGAGAGGATGTAGAGAAATAGGAACACTTTTACACTGTTGGTGGGACTGTAAACTAGTTCAACCATTGTGGAAGTCAGTGTGGCGATTCCTCAGGGATCTAGAACTGGAAATACCATTTGACCCAGCCATCCCATTACTGGGTATATACCCAAAGGACTCTAAATCATGCTGCTATAAAGACGCATGCACACGTATGTTTATTGCAGCATTATTCACAATAGCAAAGACTTGGAACCAACCCAAATGTCCAACGATGATAGACTGGATTAAGAAAATGTGTCACATATACACCATGGAATACTATGCAGCCATCAAAAATGATGAGTTCGTGTCCTTTGTAGGGACATGGATGAAATTGGAAATCATCATTCTCAGTAAACTATCGCAAGAACAAAAAACCAAACACCGCATATTCTCACTCATAGGTGGGAATTGAACAATGAGATCACATGGACACAGGAAGGGGAATATCACACTCTGGGGACTGTTGTCGGGTTGGGGGGAGGGGGGAGGGATAGCATTGGCAGATATACCTAATGCTAGATGAGGAGTTAGTGGGTGCAGCGCACCAGCATGGCACATGTATACATATGTAACTAACCTGCACAATGTGCACATGTACCCTAAAACTTAAAGTATAATTAAAAAAAAAGAAAAAAAAACAAAAAAACAAAATAATAGTACACATATTATAAAAGACACCTACATAGCATCCAACAATCAATGCCATTCTGTTCCATGAATATGTGACATTCTGGTTTTCATATATTTATATTGAATTATGGCATACATAATAAAGAGGGTAAAGGATAAAGCTCTATGAAATATTATATTGTGAACATAGTCAAGTAACCACTACCCAGGACAAAAGGCACAAAATTACTACCTAGACTACTCCACCACAACATACACAAGCATGCACACACATGCACAGACACACACGCACACACATACTCTCTCTCACAACTCTTCTATCCTCATTCAACATTATGTTTTTGAGATATATATTTTTGAATTGAATAGTTTATTTATTTTCAAGATATATAGTCAGATACTTCACAAATTATTCTAATGTTGGTATACTGTGAAATTTTAAATTGTTGAGCTATGAATAGTGCTGCTATAGACATGCTTGTATGTATTGTTTGATGTACAGAAATGTGCATTTCTGTTGAGCATTTAACAAAAAAGTACTTAGAGTTCTATGTTCAGTATATGTGCTCTACTGATTATATATTTTGCAAGGATTTTCTTTTTACTTTGGGTATCTTACTGTTTTAGTTTTTTAATGGTGTTTTTTAATAATCAGAAGTTTTTCATCTTAATTTATACCAATTGATCAATCTTTTCCTTAATAATTAGTATTTTGTTGTTGTTCCTGACTTACTCCATTTTTGAAACTATATTTTAGTATTGACATTTAGATCTACAATCCACCTGAGATTGGTTTTTATATAGTCCCAAGTATGTATCAGTTTTTATTTTTTCTCTATGGAAATCCAATCGACTCAGTAACATGAGTGGAAGAAAACTATCCATTCTCCACTGTTCTGCAGTATCGCTTCTGTCATAAATCATGTCCATATATATGTAGGTCTGTTTCTAGACTCTCTTTTCTGTTCTACTGGTCAATTTTTCTATCTTTGTACCAATATATCAATGTCTTAAGACTTACTCTAAAAGTACAGTATTTAATACACAGTAGAGTAAGTCCTCCTACTTCATTTTTTCCCCCTTAACATTGTTTTGGCTGTGTGTGTGCATGCATGTGTGTGCACACAAGGGTGTGTATGTGTGTGTATTCCTGGGCTCTCTCTCTTTTATTGGTTCATATTTCTACCTTTGTGTCAATATTACACTGCCTGATACTGATACTGCCTAATGCTAACGCCTTATAATTATTGATATTTTGTATAGTAAATTACCTTACTTTGCTCAGTTTTTTTAATTGAGATAATTAAATATCTCTTTCTTTCTCTCTTATGTGTAATGAATTATGTTTGCTGGTTTTCAAAAGTTTGGGTGTATTCTTGGAGTAAGTTTAACTTGGTTATGATATATGGCTTTCTTATATAACAGTGGATTTACTTTTCCATATGTTAAGGAATTTTTACATACAGTTAATAAGGGATAGACCTTTCAATTTCAATCCGTGTACTGCTCTGGTAAGATTTTAGTATCAAGCCTATGCTGTCCTCACATTCAGAAAGATTGTGTTACACTGATGTTATATCTACCTTTTATGTATGATAGAATTCACTAGTATAGCCTACTGGGCCTGAAATTTTCTTTGTGTTTTCTTTGTGGAGATGATAAATATGGATTACATGTATTTAGTTGATATAAATTATCTATGATCATGTCTGTTTTGTCACATTGTATTTTTTATAGGATTTTTTAATCTAAAATTTCAGTTATTGGCAAAAATGTTTCATAATTTCCTTTTGTTATTGGTATTGGTTTTGGAACTCCCACATCTGCCATTTTTTGGTATGGTATTTGGCTAATTGTGTCCTTTCTAATTTTGTTTTGTAAATCAATGTTGGTAGAAAGCAGAAAATTTCAAAGAACACACTTTTGGCACTGTTGATAGTCTCCATTCTCTGTTTTCTACTTCATTGACTTCTGCTCTTTATGATTTCCTTCCTTTAACTTTCTCTGTGCTTTATTTACTCTTTTGTTTCTAAGGTTTTTAATCTAACATGCGCTTTCAGGATAGAAAATTTTTTCTAAACATAAATTTAACCATATTCAACAAGTTCTATTTTTCATTATTATCTGTTCAAAATATTTTCTAATTTCCTTTGTGATTGTTTTCTTTGGCCTCAGTGGTATTTAGAATTGCATTGTCAAATTCACAAATACACAGGTATTTTTCTGGTCATTTTTTAATATTCTAATTTTAGCTCAAATTGAGATTGTCCAGAAAATATTATCTTTAAACTTTTAATAATTTTATAGGTATTTAATAATAGGTATTGAAGGTAGATGCCAGGAAAGGCCAAGTAACTGCTGAACACCATAAAGTTGTGGCTGACCTACATTGATATTATTTACATGCTTACCACATTATTACACAGCAAGTTTTAAACTTGAACACGTGTTAGGAGACAGAAGGAGAGGGATTAAATAGGTCAATCCTGTAAATGATTCTCTTTCAGTAAGAAACTTGAACACGCGTTAGGAGATGGAAGGAGATGGATTAAATAGGACAATCCTGTAAATTATTCTCTTTTAATTCTTTGAAATATGTTGACTCAGGCTGCATTGCCCAGCATATGGTCAATTTTAATGATATTTTCATGACACTGGAAAGTCTGTTGTTTGGTGAAGTGTTCTTGATATGTGAATATTGTCAGGTTTTACACACACACACACACACAAATATACACACGTTCAAACATATTTATCCACATATACACACATACCACAAATATACAGACATCCAAACACATTTATCCAGGTTTATAATACATTTAGAATAAATATAATAAAACAGTGAAATCATGTCTATGATGTATGCACCTTTTTTCTTCTTGAGAAAATATTTACACATATTCTTCAAATCCTCCTATCTGTATAATGATATAAACCTCATAGACCTAAGACCAGGTATGGTCATGCAGCCAACTTTGGGGCTTTGATAAAGAAAGCTTTGACAATTTTTTGAAAATATCAATGATATTCCCTATGTTAAGACTATGGGAGAAAAAATGGTTCAACATTTTTAGAAACCACTGGATATTCTTGGATTCTGTATTTAGAAGCAAACTAGAAGCTTTCTGGGTTAATTACTTCTTACAATTAAACTGTTAAAAATATCTGAGGGAGAATATAGCTTCCAGGAAGCTATTCATTAAATGATAAAAATAAAAAAGCACAACTGCTTTAATAATTCTCTAAAATTTAATGTTTGGAAAAAGTTTGTACTGTTTTATGATATTAAAATAGCAACAATAGTTATTCACTAACACTTTGCTAATGAACTCATTTCTTATAAATGAAACACATTAAGATATCAAATATATTTATTTGATCTTTGATTATGACAACTGAAAGACTAACATAAAACAATATATATGAACTCTATGTTTTCTTTCCTTACTATACAAGCAATATAAGCTCATTATAAAATTTTATAAAAATAAACAAATTTACCCAACATCCACACTTGGCTTTTATAATTATATCAATTGACCTAAAATATAGGTCAATAACTATATATCTGGATTTATTTTCTGGTTTTCACCATTTTCTCTTATATGACTATATCACTATTTAAGTGAATCCCATTATTGTCTATTTAGTTTATTTTTTGAAATTATAGAATCACCACCACAATTATGTAGTAATTAATACTTGGGAAGTCATCTCACCCTTGTTTAGTTATTTTCTCATAAGGAAAATTTATTCACTACAGATGAATTATTGAATCAAATTATAAGCAATTTTAATGATTTGTCATCAAATTGCTGGCCTGCTCTGCAAACTTTGTACCTGTTCATCTAAAACCTACAATTACATAAGCCAATTCCTTGAAATAATTTTTTTAATATAAGTTTTCTGTTAGTTCTGTTTCCCTGGTAAGACCCTGACTGAAATTTTGGTACCTGATGTATGGAGAGTATCAAGATGACTGAATTTTTGACTCATTGTACAAAAATATCTCTTATATTTTCTTATTTGAAGCTGTGTTAGTGCTGATGGAGTATAAAATCTGACTTTTTAATCGGAGCTGGTCCTGATAATAGTTTCTGTTAAAATCACAATTCATGTCTCTCTCAAATAGTATTAGCTGCATGGAATTCAGTTCCTTAAGATTTTCTGCAGAACAGCAATGGATCAGGTGATTAGCCTTTGACTATCAACTCTAAGCTAGAGAATTGCTATGATTTTTGAAATAAATAAATGAACAGAAGAAAAAGGATTTTGGGGAAAAGTGAATATATCATGAGGGAAATTATTTATAGATATATTGCATTTGAGGTTTTTCCTTGAAAGTTAGGATTTTTGTTATTTTAGAGAATTTCTATTCATTGTCACAGAAGGTAGTCAGCTTCACCATCGGGAATACTATTATCTATATAATAGTTGTGCAGGTTTTCACCTTTGGATAAGTATGGGAATTTTTCTTTCATACTTAAAATTCTTCATGGTTATTCTTGTTTTCAAAGATATTATCTTATCTGAAATAAATTACCCATTGTAAATGAATACAAGGATGGCACATCATCTTTTCTCATACATATATTCAGAGAGCTGGCAGCTATGTTGCAGGAAGATGAAAGGTAAGCACGCCTCCATTATACCTACGTAGGCCATCAGGTTTTCTTTGTCATAGATGCAATTCTAATATTTCATCTAGCAGGTTGTTATTTTATTCAAGAGGCACACTTTTTAACAGCAGTTGTATCTTTCCCCTTAGGCTTATTAGAGCAGAGGCAATCTTGTGCTGATTGTGCTCGATTGAATCTGACTGAACATAGAAAAACAGTCCTACAACATTATTGTTTAGCATTTGCTGATGAACAGTTTGCTTAGCTCACCATGCAGTGTAAATTTTTTCCATCAAGGCTTTTTAAATGCTTTCTCTAAAATCAGCACCGAGGGTGCTTTAAAGGTCAAATGAGCAGAATAGTTTTTCTTTTTTGCATAATTGTATGTAAAACTCTCTTGAGGACCACTGGTGTTTGAACTACCTTTAATTGTTCTTCCAAACTTACAGTGATTGTTCAGGTTTGTCATTTGGACTGACATAACGGTAATCACTAACTACTCTCCACTAAATAGAGTATGGAAGAAAAATTTAGTGAGCCATGAATTCTATCCATTAAGTTTATGTATTCAGAGTAGATGCCTGGAAAGGTCAAGTAACTGCTGAACACCACAGAGATGAGGGTGACCTACTGTGATATTATTCACATAGCTACTGTATCATTACACAGCAAGTTCTAAACTTGCACAGGTGTTAGCAAAGACTAAGGAGATAGATGAAATAGGCAAATTCTGTAGATAAATATTCAAAAAGGCAGAAAATAGCAAAATTCCATCGTGTTGGAAATCAACTCTCTCATCTGATCATTTTTGAGCATTACAATCGTCAACCTTCAGAAATTACTGACTCAAATCTTAAGCTTAACAAAATTGTTCTTAATTGAAAGCAATAAACCTTCCTATAAAACCTGAGTATGTGTGTATCTACTTTGTTGTTTATCACATTTGCATTAAAAAATTGATTCCATCAGTCATAAAAATATAAAGGAATTAGTATGAAATAAAAGCAAATGTATGCTTTTAAGAAAGATTCAGGCCTGTAAGTTGGCTATTCCCACAAATATAAATAAAAATTATAAACATCAACTTAGATTTTTGATGAAGACACACTTTTTTTATTGATACATGATACTTGTACATATTTATGGGCTACATGTGATTTTTGGGGCAATATTTTTATCTTAACAAATTACCCCATATATCTACAGATATTTTATATTTAAGTAAATATAAAATATATTCATTAGCTTAAAAATACTTATTAAACTGCAACTACAAATTGATTTTTAAAGGGATTTAAATAGATATAGTGGATATTTCTGTTAGGGAGACTTATTCAATTCTCATATTTATTCAAGTAATTTCCACAGGTGACATGGAACTGTCCCCAGATTCCACTATATCTTGTCATATCTCTGAAAAACTTAAAATGAATTTCCTCACTTAAAACTTTGAATGGTAGACTATTGCCAAAAGAATTAAGTCTAAACACGTTCATTTGGAATTCAAGTCCCCATGTTTCCTGTTTAGGCTTTTCTTATTTGGTTATCTATATCTATGACAGCTCAACAACAGAAATTTTATGCTGTACTTGTCAGTCTCTTAGTTATCTTACCATGTCCACTCGTCTATGAATTCTTCTGGCCCTTTGCTGAATCCTGTTTCCCCACTTGCCAAGGTTTTTATTTTGCCAACTGATATATTACTTATAATTAAGACTTTATCTAAGATCCACCTATTACCTAAAAAGTTTCTAATATTTGCAGTCTTAGTGATCTCTTTAATGTCTAACACCATTAAAGTGTGCCACTCATTTTTGCATTCAATTACATATTGCTTTCTCCTTTTATGTGATTGTATGATATTTATGTTTTGTTTCTCCAGTAAAAAAATAACCTCTCAATTGGCAGAGTTGTGATTTATCCATCTTTGATTTCTTAATAAAACTTAGGCTTTTGATTAAGGACTTAGAAAATAAAATTTTGAGTTTTAGTTGATAGGAAAAACTGTGTTCCTAGAAATGTACCACATATTCCCTTCTATCCTAAATAAATGTGTTTCTAAGGTAGTGACCTTTTCATTTGCAGGAAGCCATCAAGTTGCTAGGTGCTTAAATGGCACCTCCTTCTATCACAGATTGCTTCTGGTCTTTATGTTAGGATCAGATCATTCGTTTGCCCATGGGGCTTCCCACTGGCAAAGTAACTGTTTGCATTCATTGAGCACTAGTCAGATTTCCTAACATTGACAGGCAATTGAACAAAGATTAGCTAAAAATTTTGAATTCAATATTAAAAATACCATGCAATTCAATTGTTCTCTGGCAAATTCTAAAGTAAAGATTATTCTGGTTGATTTTTTTCTTTTAGGGTACATACTCTTAAGAACCGTGTAAATAGACCTTCTTTTTCCTTTTGTGTTTGTATGTGGGACAAAAAATATTTCCATATCGTGTTATGATTCTTCTGAAAGGACTGCTAGAACTTCAGATCTTTCCACTGAATAGATTTTAAAATATGTTTTTGCATTTGTGATTGAGATTAATTATCAGTGATATGGTTAATACTCCACATTAATCATTGTGATTCTAATTATATTATATTTCAGGAGCTGTAAAACAATACTCAATAATAAAATAATTGACATTAGATTATTAAATACTAAGATCATTGAAAATTTAATCAAGAACAATATATCCAATTATCGTTATCATTATAAGCAATTAAGCCACATCTAGTAATATTCCCTTGAGATAAAATATAGACTTTATAAAAAGAAAACACCAAGAGAACTAGGTTAATTTAGCATACATTTATATTTTATATTATTTGGCAAAATTGTGTAAAAATATTTAAAAATATGGTACTTGACAATTTATGAATATTCACAAAATATGTCTGAAATTTTATTTTTCTTAATCATTAAAAGGATAAAAAAAACAAAGTAATTTTTTTTTTCTGAGATGGCGTCTCGCTCTGTCACCCAGGGTGTAGTGCAGTGGTGCAATCTTGGCTCACTGCAACCTCCGCCTCCTGGGTTCAAGCAATTCTCCTGCCTCAGCCTCCCAAGTAGCTGGGATTACAGGCATGTGGCACCACGCCCGGCTAATTTTTTTGTATTTTTAATAGAGATGGGGTTTCACCATATTGGCCAGGCTGGTCTCGGACTCCTGACCTTGTGATCTGCCTGCCTCAGCTTCCCAAAGTGCTGGGATTACAGGCGTGAGCTACTGTGCCCACCCTGAAAGTAACTTTTAAATTTAATTTGCTAGATACTTTTCTTCCTATCATGGGCAATCCTGAAAAGAATATTGGGTCATGTTGTGAACACCTCCAAGCCTTCCTCAGATCAGCAAGAACAATTCAAGAAAACACCAGAAGTAGAGGTGATAAAGCAAGACTGCTTATGTAGAGAAATAAAGGGAAGATCAAAAGACACCTTCAAAATGACATGTGTAATGCAATTTTCCTCTGAGAAACTGGATTTTTTCAGAGGAAAATCCAGTTTTTTGTTCGTGAATCCAAAAATCAGCCCACTGGGTGGCTGAGATGTTGGGAGCTTGTGTAGGGCTTACCTTGAAAGTGTATTTCTTATATTCTGTGCTGGGGGTGGTTAGCCTATTACAGTTTCAAGAGTGATGGCTATTTAATTATGTAAAATTGGGGAGTAAATCCCTAGTCAGATTAGTCACATAATTAAGTTTGATAAAGCTCAATATTATAGTTGGGCATTTTTAGCTCAATCTAGTTGCATATCCACAACAACTCATAAAATCTATTAGCCTTCAACAATGTCACTGGAGCTTTTAGGTTACTTTGCTTTAACACATGAGGGATAAAATAGACAATGAGGCATACTCATTTGAAACCATATATGCTGTTGATTCATCTGAATTTAATTTCAGAAACACACAAATTATTTTTGTTCCCTAGTCCTTTTTCTAAATTGTAATATAGAGTGTGAGAGTGTGTGTGTGTGTGTGTGTGTGTGTGTGTGTGCACGCACGCGTGTGAGCTTTTAAGAGGAAATAGGGAAAGCCTGGTCTTTGGAGTAAGAAAGGCTCCATTTCAAATCCCAGCTTTACCATTTATTATCTAGCAGAATTTTACTTTTTATTTCTCAGATAGGTATTTTAAAATACTACCACGTGTCAGGCAAGACAGTCCACGCTGGATGCAAGATTAACAAAACAGCATTAGGGTCCTTCTTTTGTAATTCAAATCTCAAGGGAGAGGACAATATGCATCAAACATCAAGATGCTTAATGGGGTTGGGGACTGATTTAATCTGAAATGTCAGGGAACACACTCCAAAGGAAGTGAGATTTGAGATGGAGTCTAAATAATAAATAAGAATCAGTGGACTGGCAGAATTAGGTAAGAGTGTGCCAGGCAGAGGGAACAGTATATACAAAAGTTCTTGGGGGCAGAACGTAAGAAGGCATGAGTTGAAATAAATCCTGAAGAATTGATGCAGAATCATACCATGTGTGGGAACATTGATGGGGAAAATGGGATTAGAGAAAAAGTCAAGGCCACTTAACTTTTTTTAACACTCTTATTTATTTTATTTTATTTATTTTAAAGTTCTGGGGTACCTGTGCAGGATGTGCAGATTTGTTACATACGTAAACGTATGCCATGGTGGTTTGCTGCACCTATCAACACATCACCTAGGTATTAAGCCCAGCATGCATTAGCTATTTTTCCTGATGCTCTCCCCGACTATTCCCCCAACAGGCCCCAGTGTCACATTCAGTTTTCACATCCATGAAGTGACATGTCTAAAGTTATTGCTAAAAATGTATATCTTAATTAACCCATCCTTTCATTGTCAAATAGGAGACTTGGGAAATTAGAACAAAGTTAGGTGTTCAGTGGATGTTAGTTTTCTTCTTAAAGGGAGTTTGTTTTGTTCTGGTTTGGAGCTATTTATGACAAACCCACAGCCAATATCATACTGAATGGGCAAAAACTGGAAGTATTCCCTTTGAAAACCGGCACAGGACAAGGATGCCTTCTCTTACCACTCCTATTCAACATAGTATTAGAAGTTCTGGCCCGGCAATCAAGCAAGAGAAATAAATAAAGTATATTCAATTAGCAAAAGCAGAAGTCAAATTGTCTCTGTTTGCAGATGACATGATTGTATATTTAGAAAACGCCATCATCTCAGCCCAAAATCTCCTTAAGCTGATAAGCAACTTCAGCAAAATATCAGGATACAAAATCAATGTGCAAAAATCACAAGCATTCCTATACACCAATAACAGACAAACAGAGAGCCAAATCATGGGTGAACTCCCTTTCACAATTGCTACAAAGAGAATAAAATACCTAGGATTCAAACTTACAAGGATGGGAAGGACCTCAAGGAGAACTACAAACCAATGCTGAAGGAAACAAGAGAGGAAACAAACAAATGGAAAAACATTCCATGCTCAGGAATAGGAAGAAGCAATATCGTGAAAAGTAATTTATAATTTCAATGCTATTCCCCATCAAGCTACCATTGACTTTCTTCACAGAATTGGAAAATACTACTTTAAATTTCACATGGAACCAAAAAAAAATCCCATATAGCCAAGACAATGTGAAGCCAAAAGAATAAAGCTGGAGGCATCACACTACCTGACTTCAAACTGTACTACAAGTTCACAGTAACCAAAACAGCATGGTACTGGTAGCAAAACAGATATGTATAGACCAGTGGAACATAACAGAGGCCTCAGAAATACCACCACACATCTACAACAATTTGATCTTTGACAAACCTGACAAAAACAAGCAATAAGGAAATGATTCCCTATTTAATAAATGGTATTGGGAAAATAGGCTAGCCATATGCAGAAAGCTGAAACTGGATCCCTTCCTTACATCTTATACAAAAATTAACTCAAGATGGATTAAAGACTTAAATGTAAAACCTAAAACTATAAAAACCCTAGAGGAAAACCTAGGCAGTATCATTCAGGACATAGGCATGGGCAAAGACTTCATGACTAAAACACCAAAAGCAATGGCAACAAAAGCCAAAATTGACAAATGGGATCTAATTAAACTAAAGAGCTTCTGCACAGCAAAAGAAACTATCATCAGAGTAAACAGGCCTCCTACAGAATGGGAGAAAATTTTTGCAATCTATCCATCTGACAAAGGGCTAATATCCAGAATCTACAAAGAACTTACACACATTTACAAGAAAAAAACAACTCCATCAAAAAGTGAGCGAAGGATATGAACAGACACTTCTCAAAAAAAGACATTTATGCAGCCAACTAACATGAAAAAATGCTCATCACTGGTTATTACAGAAATGCAAATCAAATCTGCAATGAGATACCATCTCATGCCAGTTAGAATGGCAATCATTAACAAGTCAGGAAACAACAGATGTTGGAGAGGATGTGGAGAAATAGGAATGCTTTTACACTGTTGGTAGGAGTATAAATTAGTTCAACCATTGTGGAAGACAGTGTGGCGATTCCTTAAGGATCTAGAACTAGAAAATTGACCCAGCAGTCCCATTACTGGGTATATACCCGAAGGATAATAAATCATTCTACTATAAAGACACATGCACACATATGTTCATTGCAGAACTGTTCACAGTGCAAACACTTGGAACCAACCCAAATGCCCATCAATGATGGAATGGATAAAGAAAATGTGGCACATATACACCATGGAATACTATGCAGCCATAAAAAAGGATGAGTTCATGTCCTTTGCAGGGACATGGATGGAGCAGGAAACCATCATTCTCAGCAAGCTAACGCATGAACAGAAAACCAAACACTGCATGTTCTCACTCATAAGTGGGAGTTTAAAAATGAGATCACATGGACACAGGGAGGGGATCATCACACACTGGGGCCTGTCATGGGGTGGGGGGCTGGGTGCGGGACAGCATTAGGAGAAATACCTAGTGTAGATGACGGGTTGATGGGTGCAACAAAGCACCATGGCACATGTATACCTATGTAACAAACCTGCACATTCTACACATGTACCCCAGAACTTAAAGTATAATTTAAAAAAGGAATAAAAAGGGTTCATCAATTAATATGGAAGATAACACCATTTATGGCAAAACAGAGGTGCTGGAATATCTTGGTATACTTGATGCTAATGAAAGAAGTGGGGCTTCTAATTCCTCACAGGTGATATTAAGCCAGATTCAGTACTATACAAATATAAATTGTTTTCAAGGAATGTTTTATATGCTATTTTAAGAATTAGATACATACAATTTAAAATATAACTATATGGTATTAGCATATATATGTACATATATGTGTATGTATGCACACATTATTATCATTATTATTTTAGAGGTGGAGTTTTGCTCTTGTTGCCCAGGCTGGAGTGCAATGGTGTGATCTTGGCTCACTGCAACCTCCGCCTCCTGGGTTCAAGTGATTCTCCTGCCTCAGCCTCCCGAGGAGCTGAGATTACAGGTGTCCACAACCACGCCCAGCTAATTTTTTGTATTTTTAGTAGAGATGGGCTTTCACTATGTTGGCCAGGCTGGTCTCAAACTCCTGACCTCAGGTGATTGACCCGCCTCTTCAAGTGCTGGGATTACACGCATGAGCCACGGCGTCCAGCCGCACACATTATTTTTTTTTAAAAGGGAATACATAACAGAGGTTTACCATAAATTATCTTTGGAGTATTATTTCTCCTTATTCTGCTCTAAACCTTTGGAGAAGGAATGGTTTAATGGAAGAGCAAATGGAGAATAAATAATGAGTTAATAATAAATAAATAAATAATAATAAATAATGAGTAATAAGAAATGTTTTCTCATTACTATGTGTTTGAAACATAATGCTTTATAGTTCAAGGCCTGTAAGACCTTTAGATATAAAATATAAATGTGATTGTGACTGCTACATAAAAGAAAGAAAAACATTAAGTCACACTATGCAACTCAGCCTCCCTCCAATCACCTGAGGAGGGAGAGAGGATGCCTAAGAACAACATGAAGGACAATTCTGTGACCAAATATTTTTAAGTACGCTGGTACATATATTTCCACAGTTTTAAAAATCTGAATGCTTAAAGGAGGTGTATATCTGGGAAAGTAGTGATTCCAAGACTTGAGCCCCAGCTGGGGTACAGGGATAGTATAAATCCCAACACAGGGTATTCTCCTAAAACTGAGTTTGTCTTTTCTAGAAAGCCCTGCATAACATGTATTTCTGTGAGAAAAAATACAATATAGAATGTATTCATTCTCCTGTGAGAAGAGATACAAAAACCAAACTTCTGTAGTGTCTGTAGGGTACAGAGAATTGGTAAACTCTGAAATTATACCATAGTCAATATGACTCTTTTGTTTTTTCTTCCAACTTGTATTAGGTTGGTGCAAAAGTAAGTGTGATTTTTGCTATGTTGAGGGCATACATGTGCACGCTTGTTACATGGGCAAATTGTATGTTGCTGGGGTTTGGTGTACAAATGACTTTGTCACCCAGGTAATAATCATACAAACCAATAGGAAGATTTTCATTCTTCACACCCTCTTCCCATTCTCAACCTTCAAGTAGGCCCTGTGCTTATTGTTCTTTTTGTTTCCAAGTGTACTCATTGTTTAGCTCTCACTTATAAGTGAGAACATGTTGTATTTGGTTTTCTGTTCTTACTTTAATTTGCTTGGGATTATGGCCTCCAGCTGCATCTATGTTACTGAAAAGGATGTGATTTCATTCCCTTTTATGGCTGCATAGTATTCCATGGTGTATATGCACCACACTTTCTTTATCCAGTCCACTATTAATGGGCATCTAGGTTGATTCCATATCTTTTCTATTGTAAAAAGTACTGCAATGCACATATGACTGCATGTGTTTTTATAGCAGAACAATTTATATTCCGTTAGGTATATACCCAGCAATGGGATTGTTGGGTTGAATGGTAGTTCTGTTTTAAGTTCTTTGAGAAGTCACCAGGCATGCCAGACTCCAAAAGCAATTGTAACAAAAACAAAAATTGACAAGTGGGATCAAATTAAACTAAAGAGCTTCTACATAGAAAAAGGTGATCCTTGAGAGCATAACACAGTTTTGTTTCTTTTTCTTTCCATTCAAAGAGCTGGAAGTTTAATCTAGCAAAATGCGAAGCAATTCTTACCAAGACATGGCCACAAATAGACCATGCCACTGGTCATGAGGCTTTGGTTGAACTAACTTCACCAATTTTATATGTTGATTATTAGAATCTGAAAAAATGCTCTTATTATTTTGGGCGCATTGGCTTGTTTCAGAAAGTAGAAAGCAAAATGAAACCTGAGTAAAGGTAAGAGATACATGGTTTTTGTTCAGGGAAGCTAGTAACACACACTATGGTAATTTGTTGATATATCAATTTATGTTGATAGGTCTATAGGGTCTCAAGTACATTTATGCACATTTTGATAAATCTAAATTTTTTTAAAGACATGTACTATGAAAGTGCTCTTAGTGAGGATTTATTTGGGAGACAAAAGGAGGGAAAACAAATTAATTTATTTAGGGGTAAGTTTATATTTTATATAGCCTGGGTTTAAAAAATCCAGCACTACCTTTAAAAGTAACTAGTGATTCTTATCAGTAGAGGGGAACACAGACGAGTTACTCTTGGGGCATTTATAATTGTAAAAATTAGGGCATTCATGGACTCTTAAGATTTAATAGGACTGTGTTAGTGCAGATAAAAAAAGAGATTCAGGGCATTTAACCAGGCAGGACCCATGAGTCTGTGAATTAACACAACATTTTAGGGTCCTGGCTAACATTTTATCTTTGCATCCAACAGTCAGATTCTGTTCTGCAGCATTCCCTGATGGCTGATGGAAACTCAAGTTAAAAATAAAATCTGATTTATTATATTTTCTTACCATGGAATGAGAGTGAATCCTCAAAATAGTATCTGAGACTGAATATGATTTTTATTATACCTAGTTTCAAGGTTTTACTAACTGAAAATGAGTCGCATTGCTATCTTGTCACTATTGGGAATCTTCATGTCCAATGAGCCTTTTACTTCCACTGAAGCAAGAATTGAAACTGTCTCTAAGGGGAAAAGATGGCTAATAATCACTGCCATTGAAAGACAATCTTAGTTGGATTTAAATGAAAACTAAATATTTTTTATTATCTGGTTCCAAATGCCATTCTATCTTTCTTTCACAGTCATATTTAAATCTAAGAAGCCCAATTCATTGTTGTGTGTATGTATTTGTGAGGAAAGCATGTTTATAATATTTTCATAAAACATGAAAAATTCTGTCTTTGTCTTTTAGAGTAATATGACAAATAAAACACATCAACTCTAGCCAGAACATTGGCTTGACTGAAATATTACATGGTCACCCTGATGTGTATATATTGGTTTTTACTGTGTGTCTATGTACTCTCACCTACTATGATGATAAACTTTCTGTGCACTGTTAAAGGACACTTTCTTTCCTCAGACAAAATCTGTAACATTTATGCTGAGTGAAAAACATTAGAATTTTGGATACTCAAAATTTTTAGTTGGGTAGTAATCTTTATTTTAATCTTGGTTTTAACTACCAGCATAAAGTTTAATCAGCTTTTAAGAAAATGTGGACTGTTTTAAGTCTTTAGAAGCTCAAGATGAATGATTTTACACATTACAAAGTGTATGTGTGGGGATAATCAGGAGAGAAACACTGAATCTTCCTTAAAGGGATGTTGAAAAGCCATAGTTCTATTTTTAAGTATGACAGCTATTTAATGATATATTGAAGATTTTATATAAAAATTAACCTGACCATTCACAAATTATAAAATAATGGTTTATATTAGAAGTTAGAGAGAAAATGATTACAATACAGCATCATATAACACCATATAGGAGAAAAATCTTGACAATCCATAAAACATAAAACAGTAACAAGCAGAACACAAATTATTGAAATTAGGTTAAAGTCTCTCAAATTTGGAGAATTAAATAAAAGACACATGTGAGAACCAATGACTCAGAAGTAAGTTGGCAAAGTTAGATCATACAAATGGAATCCAAAAAATCAGGTCAAGCATTAGCATTCAGTAGCAATCAAAATTCAAAACAGAAAATAAGACAATTAGGCTCATACATTTATAAAAGTCACAAAGCAGTTTAAATATATAAAATAGGCTGAGTGGCATGGCTCAAACTTGTAATCTCAGCACTTTGTGAGGCTGAGGCAGGATGATCACTTGAGGCCAGGAGTTCCAGACCAGCCTGGACAACATAGTGAGATCCTACCAATATACAAAAGTTTATTTCAAAACTAGCCAGGTGTGGTGGCTTGCACTTGTAGTCCTAGCTATTTAAGAGGCTGATTTAGGAGACCTCCTTGAGCCTAGGAGTTTGAGGCTGCAGTGAGCTATGATTACGAGTGTATATGAATATACACATATATGAGATACACATATATGTTTGCATATATGTATATTTGTATATATGTATGTAATATATACACATATATATGTATATATGTTTATATATGCATGCATGTATGTATATATGTTTATATATGCATGCATATATGTATATATATACAAGTATATATAAAATGATAAATGTGTATTAGTAAAATCTGTTATGAATTCAAGAGGAATGAATTGATATCCAAATATAGCCTAGAAATTTAATACTTCATTACTAGATTATGAAATAAACTGAAAAAATAAATAATATAGAACATTTGAAAAATATGGCCAATAAAATGTAATTAAAATCTATATATCAAAATTTTGCCTATACACAGAATATACATAATTTTCTAATATCCACAGAATATTTTATATTTGTTTTATATTTTGCAATCAATAATATTTTGGTAAATTTTACTAAAAGCACACAAAAATTAATCATTCTTTGACAAACTAGTGTAAGAAGTTTTAAAGAAAAAATGTGAATAGCCTATTTAAAACAATTGTTCCCAAACAAATAATGAAGAATGAGGACTCAGGCAATTTAGACTGAGGAGATCTTGAAAGGTCTTTGTTAGTATTTATTTATCTAATGCTGTGTCTACCTAATTATATCAGATGAATATTGGGGTTGGTAGAGATATATAGGAGGATGCATAAGTATAGAAGAAAAGGAGAAGGCATTTGAGATGCTGAGGATGTTAATAATGGCAAATTTGTTTTTCAAAAATAGTAAAAGTTGATGTCTAGTAATATACTCATTTAAAAATTTTTTTTCTCTCTTTTCCTGAGGAACCTCAAGTGTGTCAGCTGTGAAGCATGTACTGTATTCTTCTGGTGGAAATTAGCATGGCCACTATATCACAAATGGATATTATCGCAAAAGTTAATTGTATTACTAGTTCTGTTTAAAGATAAAGAATCAGACATGTGCAATTATCTTCTATCACCTCTGCTTAGTGAGATTCAACTTTCTTTTTCTTTACTATGAATAAAACAAACTAAAAATTCACAAAGATATACAAAATGCACGTGTATATAAGTGGATGGTAAAGTTAAAAAAAAATAGAGACAAAATTTTGGATGGAGAAGTGCTAACTAATTTAGCCGAATTTATGATGCATGCCTGTGGAGGAGGATACTAGTAGAAGAGAGCCAGCTTATTCCACAAAACTGCTAAAAGGCCAAACTCCTATACAGGCTGCAAGGAGCAGGATTAAAACTATGGATACTAGTTGAAGCTTATGTTCAGGGCAAGTAAATTCCCCTTCCTCACCTTGTGCAGCCATATATTCCCCACTCTCCCTTAAAGGAGATTAGATATTTATCCCCTCTACTCTGCCATAGTTTTGGCAGTGGTTCTGATTCTCCACCCTCCAAACTCCTGTCAGATAGTGCCTTCTACAGAGCTCCAAGATCTAGGCTATGGTCATACTTCCTCCTTCTCAGGCCTGCAGTTGGTAATGGCTTCTCAGCCATCATTAGTCTCCCGATGCTTCCCTTGCCAATGTCCAAACATCTATAAATTATCTTTTCATTAAACTCTGTTTAAGCCCTTTGAGTATAAATGTATTTGTCTCCATCTGGGACCATGATTGATACATCAGAGAACAGACAAAATCTTCAAAAAACTGTAATTGAATAATATCCTCAGGGAGAAAACAGAAGGCTATTCTTGTCCAAACAACAACAACAACAACAACAACAACAACAACAAAAACCCAAAAAAAAACCTCCCCTCCCAAAAAAAAACAGTATCAGGAAGAACACAAAGTACAGAAAATATCGTAAAGGTTAGGACAAAAGATAAAAATATAGAAAATCAATGAAATAATTTAAGGGACTAAGATACTAGTACTGCTGTACCATGCCACAAAGGCTTATGGGAATCCAGCAGAGTGAAAGATAAAAGAAAAACACTAAGTACATGCTATGGTCTAAATATTTGTGTCTTCCCAAATTCATATGTTGAAATCCTAACGCCCAAGTTGATGGTATTAGGATGTGACATGTTTGAGAGGTGGTTAGGTCATGGAGGCAGATTCCTCATGAATAAGATTAGTGCCTTTAGAAGAAAAGTCTGAGAGAGACCATTCACCTTCTCCACCACATAAGGACACTATGAGAAGGCGTCATCTCTGAACCAGGAATTTTGCCCTTACCAATGACTGAATCAGCTGGTTCCTAGATCATGTACTTCCTAGCCTTCAGAACTGTGACAATTCATTTTCTGTTATTTATAAGCTACCCAGTTCATAGTATTTTGTTACAGCAGCCAAAATGAAGTAAGATTGTACAACTTTGTGAAATTTCAGGAGACTAAAAATAGAGAAGAAACCTTAAAAGTTTCCTGAGAAATGAAGAGAAATTAAAAGATATCATATACAAATAAATATCTGAAAGTTATTAGATATTTCATAGGAACACAGGATGCTAGAAATCAATGGAGCCATGCCTTCAAAATTCTGAGGGAAATGGTTCACGTTTTGTGTATAAATTTGTGTAAAATTAAGTTTGAGGGTAGAACATCTAGATATACATAAAGATGTGGCAAGATTGTCACTTTCCAGGCAGCCTTGATTCAAAAACCTAATATATACTATGTTCCAGCATCTTATATCAGACAAATGAAACAAAATAAGTAAGAGAAAATAAGACATTCAATAACCATTTGGCCAAACATAGAAGAATAGCAAAGTGAAGTTTCATTGCTAGGAGCCATAAAGTAAATCTCATGAAGAGTTAAAAAAAGATAAGCATAATAAAATTATGCAAATAATAAACAAGGACATTATTTACTGGGCAGAGGGTGGTGAGGTTATAAGAAAAGGAAAGCTCACTGTAGTATAATACTTGGCTGTGCCAAACATCAGCATATGCCATTTATAATGGTTTATACTTTGCCCGTTGCTTTTCAAACAATGGACCTAATTTTGGGGATGATCAAGCAAAACAATCAGGGTTGATGTAAGATAGGTAAATCCTCATTCTTCATAACAAAAAGTCAGTGATAATTTTGGAAATGAATACATAAAAATAGTAAAACACACTTTTTACTTGGAAGTATGAATATTGAGATACAGAAGAAACTCCTGAAAATATATAGGTAATTACCTTTGAAATAAAGTAGGATTTGGAGAGGATGAGTATGTCTCTCTCTAATTTTCTAATAAAATTACAGATGACTTTGATATAAAATCCAGTGCAAAAATGCAACAAACACAATAGTTGTATGAACACAAACACAAGAATAGGCAATATGTGACTAGAAGAACCACACTGGCGAAGAAAAAATTCTGGGTGTTGCCAACCAACAACTACACTAAATGGATTGTAGCACCTTTAGCATCTGGTGGCAACCTTGGTGGTGTTTGAAGTACACTGAGAGCCACACAGGTGTTTTTCATGTAACTATAGGTAAATTCATTTCAAACAACAACATAGGCCTTATGTCTTTGGACACAGAAAGCACAAGTTCCACAAGGTCACATGGCACCCCTGTATTTTCAATTCTGCTTTTTGTGATGCTCTAAAAAACAATAAATGTTTTATTCAAACTGCATCTATGTAGCTTCCCAGTCATGGCATCACTGGCCATGTTTATTTGAGACTAAATGTCATCATGGTTTACATTCTCTCTGTCCTAATAGAGAATTACTCTTGGTGAGAACATCAAGCATGCTCTGCCTGTATCACATTGCTCTTGGATGTGTTATGAATGAGTCTGAGGCCCATTCTGAGGGTACAATGTTCTGTCCATATGCATTAAGAGTAAATGCTTCAGTTACTGGGAGAAGTTCATATGTTCCATTATTTTAAGCTGCAAAGTGTGGGATTTTTTATTGACCTATTTTGAAAGTATGCTTACTCAATAAAAATTGCTAGTGATTTTGCAGTGTTCTTCAAATCATAAGGCATAAAGCTAGATGTTTTTAATTGCACTTTAGCATCTCGTAAGGAAATGCTCTCAAGCCTCAGACAAATGGTAAGCTGTTGTATTCCCTTTGGAAAAACTTCATTTGATTATAGTAGTATTTCTCTTTCTCCTAAATATTAAAATAAAGCAAGCTGAAGTTTCTAAGCTTTATAGAAACTATCACAGAGAGTTTTGTCTTTCCTTTTTAACATATTGGACAAAAACTGAGCTTAATGTATAAAAGGCTACTTTCAGCAAAGCTGCTCGTGTGCTATTCCAAAAGAAGTTGGTCTCTCCTTGGAAAGGATCCTAGAAAACTGAATTGGAGGCAGATTTTTTGGCTACCTTCGCACATGAATTTCTTCAGAGTAGTGGCAGAAATCAATGGCTTCCTTAAATAAAGCACTCCAGGGACAGAAGAAATCATAGCCTGGCTCAGTTCCTGGAATTTGTGTTTTTGCTTGTATGATCATTACTTAGCAAGTACTTTCAAAGTCAAATCCCTTTTTCTACATTTATAATCAAAAAGAATAAGAACCTAAACTCAGATATAAAATTCTGATGCTTAAAGTAATTCTCATCCTGGTGTTATCAAATCTTCATTTTCTAGTCTCATCTATGGCAGCTGAGCTTATGCCAAATTAACAAGAGCAGCAGTAAACCACTCAATTTCTGAGCTTATTAAAATTATTCCATATTTTAGTGTATGTGAATGCATCTCTGCATGAGTTTTATGAGTTCTTTATAAGCCGTTAGGTCTTTTTTTTTTTTTCTTTTCCTCTGGTTTGTTTTGTCTTCCTTATATTAACTCATTTATTCACACTTAATTCATTCATTTATTCATTAGGCAAAACTTCATAAGTACTTAATGTTTATCACTCACCATAGCTAAGTGCTAAGAAATTGGAGGTTTAACTTTATTTCTGCATTTTTATTTTGAACTTTTTTGAGACATTAATGGTACATCTTAGTAAAATTTTCTAAGTTCCATCCAGGCACTTGGGTAAATTTTCCAAATATTACTCAGCATAATATGGCTGTCCTTAGGTAAAAGATAATGATACATAACAAAAAATTATCAATGTTGATAACCTAATAATAATCTTATTAGCTAACATTTATTAAGTGATACTAAATGGTTTCACCTATTTTAGCTTTTCTGATCCTCAGTAAACCCAGGAAAACTGAGAAGTTGTGGGACTTGACCCAAATTGCACAGCAAGTGATGGTGGTAGTAGAACTCTGGTTGTCCAACTCAAGAACTCATTCTTTTCAAGACAACATTGTACGGTACTGCAATAATAATGACATAATGTTGACTGAACCATTACTTCATGGTCCTGGACACAGTGGTATGATAATTAGAGCTTTTATACATTACAGTGAAAAGCTATACACATATATTTGTAATTTTAAAATGCTCAAGAGTAAAAACAATTACAAACATTTATTGAGCACTTTCTGTATGCAAGGCATATGTAGTACCTTATACTATATGAAAAATTACCCTCTGCAGCAGGTATTATTATTACCTGCATTTAACAAATGAGAGATTTAAGGTTCTGAGTTCTTTGGTAACAGGTACAGGGGTTTACAATGGGTAGCAGTGCTAGAATTTGCTTTTAATTTGCTTGTTTCCAGAAACTTGTTTTAATTGGTATGCTTTACTTCCTCTCTTAAAAAGTGAAAACCATTTATACCTTATCAAAATAGACCATTTAGATACATATTGTTGGTGGTGAATTAGATTGCATTGAATAATGACAAGTTTCTGACAATTATAAAGCAGTGACATTCAGGAAGAATTTTTTTTATTTAGTTGCATACTAGTTATTATTTCAGGAATAATATTTTAAAAATCTAGTTTTTCAACTCTAGCAAATAATGCATATTCTTACCTGTAAGGGTTGGCTTTTTTTTTTTTTTTTTTTGACAGCGTCTCACTGTGTTGCCCAGGCTGGAGCGCAGTGGCACAATCTTGGCTCACTGCAACCTCGGCCTCCTGGGTTCAAGAGATTCTTCTGCCTCAGCCTCCCAAGTAGCTGGCACTACAGGTGCACACCACCAAGCCTGGCTAATTGTTTTGTATCTTTAGTGGAGATGGGTTTCACCATATAGGCCAGGCTAGTCTTGAACTCCAGACCTCAAGGGATCCACCTGCATTGGCCTCCCAAAATGCTGGGATTACAGGCACGAGCCACTGCGCCTGGCCTACGGTCTTGCTATTAATATTATTCAAATTAAAATATTTATAACACAACAATGTTTTTCAAAAATGTTTTCATATGATTGTTTAGATTCCAGAGTGGTGACATAGGAGAAATTTTAGGGGAGACAGGGAAACCACAGGGTGGGGCTAATAGTTCCCTACCCAACTCTTCCTATTATCTCCAATCCAGGTCTCAAACAGAAGAGGCTATCCTTTAATTATTTCATACTGTAGCTATCTACGTAACACCTTGTTTAAAAAAAAATAACTCTCTGCAAATTTGTGGTATGGCTATTTAGTTCTTCATGATTGAATACACTTGATACATATTAAAGTATGTATCTTAAGAAGCTTCAGAGTAATACTTTGGAAAATCACAACCTTTTTATTTTCTAATAACCAGTTCTATGCTATTTCTTATAGGGCAGAAAGCACTAAAGTGAGTTTTTTCTTGCCTTTAAGTCTAAAGGAGTCTTTCCTGTGTTCTGCCCTCTGTGTGTTCGAATGAGAAAACCAGGCAAAATAGGTCTATTTCACCAGAGACCAGTGTGATCAGATCACATTAATATCTACGTGATTACCTGCACCATCTATGCCTTGGCACTGTCATAAAATCACAGGGAGAGAGAAGGAAACTCTCATTGACTGAAATTGATTTTCTGTTATCTCATCAGAATGGGGACTAGAAATGTAAATTAAGTTGAGATGTAGAAAATAAAATTATATGTCTTGCATACCTGAGTTATTGGCAGAGATTCCTGTATGCTGCAATTGGAATATATGACTATAATTGAGGGAAGGTTCTGTCCCATGGAAAAAAAAAAGAGTAAGTTTCACCAGAGTCATGCTCCTCCACTCTATTCCCGACTTTGGTTTCAAGTTAGATTTATATTGTGATTTGATCACACAGTCCCTGAGAAAAGGTGAGGTATGCTGTGGTATTAAGGATGCTTTGTGAACGGTGGTTAATATTCACCAGGTTTCTGCTTCCAGAAATGTCTGGAGTACTGTGGGGGTGCCAGGGTGTCAGCTGAACTGGAAAAATGCAAGATCAAATAGAACAGCCCTGACTCTGACTACAATTTAAATATTCGCTATGGCTCCCATCTGAGTTCCTCAAAATTTCATCCTGGCTAGTTCCCCACAAATCCTCTCTATAGACGATCATAAGTAGCTATATTAGTCCATTCTCGTGCTGCTAATAAAGAGATACCCAAGACTGGGTAATTTATAAAGGAAAAAAGTTTAACTGACTCACAGTTTAGCATGGCTATCATGAGAATAGCATGAGGGAAACCACCTCCATGATTCAATTACCTCCCATGGGGTTCCCTCCACCAAGTGAGAATTATGGGAACTACAATTTAAGATGAGATTTGGGTGAGGACACAGCCAAATCATATCATTCTATCCCGGGCCCCTCCCAAATCTCATGTCCTCACATTTCAAAACTCAATTATGCCTTTCCAACAGTCCCTCAAAGTCTTAGCTCATTCCAGCATTAACCTAAAAGTCCAAATCCAAAGTCTCATCTGAGACAAGGCAAGTTGCTTCTGCCTATGAGCCTATAAAATCAAAAGAAAGTTAGTTACTTCCTAGATAAAATGGCGGTAAAGGGACTGGGTAAATACACTTGCTCCAACTGGGAGAAATTGGCCTACCAGAACAAAGTCCAAAATCCAACAGGGCAGTCATTAAACCTTAAAGTTCTGAAATGATCTCCTTTGAAGCCATGTCTCACATCTGAGTCACACTGATGCAAGAGGTGAGCTCCCACAGCCTTGGGCAGCACTGCCCCTGTGGCTTTGCAGGGTACAGCATCCCCTCCTGGCTGCTTTCAGGGGCTGGTGTTGAATGTCTGTGGCTTTTCCAGGCACACAGTGCATGTTGTTGGTGGGTCTACCATTCTGGGGTCTGGAGAACAGTGTCTTTCTTCTCACAGCTCCACTAGACAGTGCCCAAGTGGGGATTCTGTGCGGGGTCTTTGACCCCACATTTCCCTTCTGCACTGCCCTAGCAGAGGTTCTCCATGAGGGCTCTGCCCCTGAAGCAAACTTCTGCCTAGACATCCAGGCATTTCCATACCTGGTGGAGGTATGAAAGATTTCACACCTAGATTTCATACCTCTGAAATCTAGGCAGAGCTCCCCAAACCTCAGTTCTCGACTTCTGTGTATCCACAGGCTCAACACCATGTGGAAACTGCCAAGACCTGGGGCTTACACCCTCTGAAGCCACAGCCAGAACTGTACCATGTGACTTTGAGCCACCGCTACAGTGGCTGGAATGCAAGGCACCAATTCCCTAGGCTGCATACAGCCGGGGGAGCCTGGGCCTGGCCTATGAACCATATTTTCCTCTTAGGTCTCTGAGCCTGTGTTGGGAGGACCTGCTGTGAAGGTCTCTGACATGCCCTGGAGATATTTTCCCCATTGTCTTGGTGATTAACATTCAGCTCCTTGTTACTTATGCAAATTTCTGTAGCAGGCTTGAATTTCTCCCCAGAAAATGGGTTTTGGTTTTCTATTAACTTCTGTGCATCCACAGGCTCAACACCATATGGAAACTGCCAAGATTTGGAGCTTACACCCTCTGAAGCCACAGCTAGAGCTGTATTTTGTGACTTTGGGCATCAAAGGCTGCATCATCAGGCTGCAAAGTTTTCAAACTTTTATGCCCTGCTTCCTCTTGAATGCCTTGCCACTTAGAAATTTCTTCTGCCAGATACCCTAAATCATCTCTCTCATGTTTAAAGTTCCACAGATCTCTTGGGTAGGGACAAAATGCTGCCAGTCTCCTTGATAAAGCATAGCAAGAATCACCTTTATTCCCGTTCCCAATAAGTTCTTCCTCTCCATCTGAGACCACCTCAGCCTGGACTTCCTTGTTCGTTTCACCATCAGCATTTTGGTCAAAGCTATTCAACAAGTCTCTAGGAAGTTCCAAACTTTCCCACATTTTTCTTTCTTCTTCTGAACCCTCCAAACTATTTCACCCTCTCCCTGTTACTCAGCTTCAAAGTCGCTTCCACATTTTCAGGTATCTTTACAGCAGCACCTCACTCTCTGTGGTACCAATATACTGTATTAGTCCATTCTCACACTGCTAATAAAGACATACCTGAGACTGAGTATTTATAAATGAAAGAGGTTTAATTAACTCACAGTTCAGCATGGCTGGGGAGGCCACAAGAAACTTAAAATCATGGTGGGAGGGGAAGTAAACATGTCCTTCTTCACATGGCAGCAGGAAGGAGAAGAACGAGAGCAGTGCAAAAGGGGAAGCCCCTTAAAAAAACCCTCAGATCTCATGAGAACTTAATATCATAAAAATAGCTTGGAAGAAACTGTCCCTGTGATTCAATCACCTCCTACTGGCTCCCTCCCATGAACGTGGGGATTATGAGACCTAAAATTCAAGATGAGATTTGGGTGGGGACAAAGCCAAATCATATCAGTGGCTATGGTTGAAGGGGAGGGCAATTTAGGATGATGTCATTTCTCATTAGTATAACTCTTAAATTATCAAGCAGAAATAAATGTTAATTTTGTCTTTCATATCTAGGGAATTTTTTTTAATTAAATACATTCTTCTAGTAAGGTCAGGCTGACAAGTAACAATTTATCTTTGGCTCATGAATCATTTAAAGATAATCCACTTCCTAAATGCTAAACACAATCAGTATGCTAGTTACTCTTCTAAAAAATCAAAATGCACAGATTAAGAGCTTGCTCTTTTTCTCTTTCTCAAAACTAGGATACAAAAATAAAAATAATCACCAATCTTTTGTAATAACTTGGAAACTGCTGATTAGTGTTTTCAAATATTTCAGGGAGGGAGCGAAGAAGAGAGAGAGAGCGAGAGAGAGAGAGCGCATTTTTTTGTTTGGGGGGTGTGTGTGTGTGTGTGTGTGTGTGTGTGTGTGTGTGTGTAGATCAGTGGTTCTCAAACAGGGATTGTGATTTTTGCCCTCTCCATCCTCCCCATCAAGAAACATTTCACAACAACTGGAACGATTTTGGCTCCTCCCAAGTGAGGGAAGGGGTAGAATCCAGAGTTGCAGCTAAACATCCTACAATACAAAGGACAGCACCTTACAACAAATAATTATCTAGCCCCAGTATCAATAGTGCTGAGCTAGATGATTGACAGATAGATAGATCGATAGATTGATAGACAGATGATAGATAGACAGATAGATGACAGACAGATAGACTTTTTTTTTCTAATAAAGACATTTAAAGGGTGCCCATTGAAGGGAAGACTTCATGTTACTCGAAACATGTTACCTTCTTTGTTTTGAGAACAGTCACTCAATTGCCTCATTCCATTAGGCAAATAAGTGTGGGGCATCTGTGCAGTGCTGAAAGGGATACAGACAAGCCAAGGGCCTATCCCTCTTGGAATATGGATAAGCATGTATGTTCTACTTTGTAGCAAGAAATAAGGGCAATGGTGGACAAGGGTTGTTAGGTCATATTGCTATTCTAAATCTGCTGAGGACCTTCGTACTTTAAAACCTTATGGTACTTGGTCAATTGGAATGGCTGGGATGCCTCAGGGAGGAAACATGGAACTTTCTGTTGTGAAGCCTCAATAGGTTGAGTATAAAAATATTTTCTTAGTGTTATCTTTGAATCCTGTTTTGCTTTTTTTATTAGAAGAGTCTCAGAAGTAATCTTCACATGATTATTATTATCACATTAGTGTAATAGAACCTATTAATACATTTGGTCTTAATTGTTCTTAGAACGATGGAGTGAGAGGTTAATTATTATGAGCATAATGTCTATGTTAATCTTGTGCTACCACTTGGTTTAATATTCCTGTCACCTTACAAGTGTATCTGAGAGTATTCATTACTTTCATTTGTAGTGTAGATTTTTCCTTCAGAATAATAATGTGCATAATAAATAGTTCATTTTATATAGATAACATTTTATAACTGTCTTTTAAAATGTAATACATGTCTATTAGGACTATAGGCATATAAAATACTTTCTTTTTTATTTTTTGGTTTTTCTTTTAGATAATTTTGTTTTGAAAATGTTGAATGCCTGTTTTGTAAATATTTAATTCATTTATTCATTCATTCAATCAATCACTCAGTAAGGATTTACTGATTTTTCTGCAAAGCATTTTGTTAGATCTTGAGAATATAAAAAAGAATAAGTGAAGTTTTCACTCTCAAAGTACTCAGATTTTAATTTTAGAGTATTTTCTCTTCATGGATTAACAATTATTGATATGAAAACTTATTGGAAAGGAAGTCAATTCAATTGTATAACCACTTTCATTTCAAGTAAGATGTCACATGCTATACAGATTAATTTGAAACCATCAAACCTAGACCATTAAGCAATTTAATTTCCTAGTTGTAAAATCAATGTCCATTTCAAATTCAGCCAGCTAAACATTTTAACTATAAGTTTAGTATATTCAAATTGAAATATACACAATGTTTCTAATTAGTTCTAATTACTGACAGACATGTAGTAGGTAGTGTTTCCTAACATTATAGAATCGTCATGCCTCTTGAGGTGATACAATACCAACAGAGGAATCGCTTTCCTTTCACAGGTATGTTAAGAAACCAAATTCTTGGCCAAAGCAGGCGGATCACAAGGTCAAGAGTTCCAGACCAGCCTAGCTAACATGGTGAAACCCTGACTCTATTAAGAATACAAAAATTAGCCAGGCGTGGTGGCGTGTGCCTGTAATCCCAGCTACTCAGGAGGCAGAGGCAGGAGAATTGCTTGAACTCGGAAGGCAGAGGTTGCAGTGAGCCGAGATCATGCCACTGCACTCCAGCCTGGACGACAGAGCAAGACTCCATCATGGGGGAAAAAAAAATTCTTTAGAGTTGCCAATGAGATCACCAATGGCAAGCTTTATATAATTCTGAATGGGTCACGTTACTTAAGTTGCTTGTATATAAACTTAATATGAACACAATCACTTTTGATTATTTTAAATGCTAACATTTCTTGGAAGAAAATGTTTATTTTAGCACTTAACCTTTCATTTTGCATTCCCTTTTAAATGCTATCCTAAAATTTTCAACCATTTGAATAAAATTAAGTTTCCATTTTAGTGAGAAAGTTCTTCAATAATTAACATAACATATTCTTCAACTATAAAATATTATGATATAAAGTTTGACTCAAAAGTTGAGTTAATGATTTTATCTATTTAAAATAACCACAGTAGTGATAACTCAGCTAAATCAACCCCCGTTTTCATATTTTTGACAGTTTACGACCTACATAAAATATGCACACAGATATAAAACATCCAGTAAACTTCATAGGCATCTGTTTAAAAACAGAAAATATTTTAAGATATTTGAGAAAGAAGGAGGACTCATTTAAAACACTGATATTTTATTATCAATATTTTATTTAATACCTATGATGTACCAGATTTTTACCCAGGTTATTGTGAGCATGCAAATAATTTCATGCAACTCTGGAGAAAAAAATATTTGTGACTAAGTCTAAGCAGTTAGACAGCCTAGCGACCCTACTGAAACAGAACTTCTGATTTTTATGGCTGCACCAAACTGCATCTGCTTTATTTCACTGCAAACCCTGCGTGTTTTTAAGACAACAGATGTGGCTCACTCTAAGATTGCATTTCTTCCCGTGCTAATTTTCTCTCCTCTCCAACACCTGCCCACCGTTGAATCTCAAATCAAGTTTCATCCCTGCCTTTCATTCATTATTTAACATTTATTTATTAATCAACAAGTTATGCCCCAGTTACACGCTAGGTGCCAGGTGTGTATTCAACCGGGAAGAAGACAGAGAAATCCCTGAACACATGAAGCTTACAGTCTGGTTAGGAATATAGAAAATCAATGAGTAAAACAAGTAAATATAAAATGAAAGTAGGTGCTATAACAGATAACTTGAGAGGAAAAATTTTAGACAGAACAGTTAAGGAGGATTTACCTCTAGAGATGACTTTTAACCTAAAATTTGAAGAAGGAGGAAGAGGCCACACGGAACCAATGTGGGAACAGAAGAGAAAAATACTGAAAACGACACATTATTCCAGTTGGAAGAAGCAGTGAGATTAAGGGCTCTGGGGTAAAAAGCATTTCAGAGAGTCCTAGAAGTAATGGAATGTCAAAGTGAATGCAGCGTGTGAGAGGGAGGAAGTCAGGTATTGGGTGAGGTCGAGGAACACAGGCAGGAACACAACCATGCAGGGTCTTGTTGGCAATGACAAGAAGTCTGGATTTTATTTTCAGAGTACAAGTAAGCCAATGAAGAACCTTCAAACAGGGAAGTGATTTGATGTAATATGTTTTTTTAAAAAACACCCTGGCCATAGTGGCTACAATGTTGAGAAGCAGGCAAGAGAGAACTGCCAGAGCCCAAATAAAAAAATGATGGAAGCAGCCAGGTGTGGTGGCTCACGCCTGTAATCCCAGCACTTTGGGAGGCCGAGGCGGGAGGATCACCCAAGGTCAAGAGTTTGAGACCAGACTGGCCCACATGGCAAAACCCTGTCTCTACTAAAAATCCAAAATTAGCCGGGTGTGGTGGTGTCTGCCTGTAATCCCAGCTACTTGAGAGGCTCAGGCAGGAGAATCGCTTGAACCTGGGAGTCGGAAGTTGCAGTCAGCTGAGATCACGCCATTGCACTCCAGCCTGGGCAACAAGAGTAAAACTCCATCCCAGGAAAAAAAAAAAAAAAAAAAAAAGGAAGCTTTGACCAGAATGGTTTCAGAGGTGACAGAGAAAAAATAAGTAGATGTAAGACGAAATGTTGAAAAGGACTTTCTGAAAAGGCTTGAATATAAAGAGCAAACTGATGAGTAAAAAATGACTTTCATTATATAGGTAGACAATAGTGTTATTTGCTGAGACAGGAAAGGCCATGGAGGGATGTGTGAATGGGGAAGGAAGGAAGGAATGGAAAGTAGAGAAGCGATGTTAGGAGTAGGAGACCAGGAATTGTATTTTGGATATGTTAAATTTAAGATACAGATGAGGCATACAAGAGAAAATATTAGGTAGGTGTTTAGATAGATGAGTCTAGAATTCATAAGAAAGTTCTATGCTGGAACAGGCATAAAAAGAGAAAAAATAATTGGTCACCGAGATAGGAGAAACACCAACAACTTACTCTTTTTGAAGCAGACATAGAAAATTACTTCAAGAAGATAGAGTGTATTCACTAAAATGCTTAGTACAATGGAGACAGAAAATTGGCTTTGTCAACATGAAGGTCGTATAGAGTGACCATTGTCTCACACTGCTTAGAATAATTTCTGTTTGTACATGTTGTCCCAGAGTCATAACTAACAACACTCTTTTTTATTTTTAAATATTTATCAGTTTGAATGACAAAATTCTCTACTCACAGGTGACAGTAACAAAAGCTGTGTCAGTTGTGGGAACATGGATACCAGATTGGATAGGACTGAATAGTAAAGAACAAGTAACAAAATCAAAATCTCATGTGTGGCAAACTTTTGACATGTTGACTTTGAAGAGGAACAGAATCAAAGTAATATAAGATCTCGAGAGGTGCTGTGTTGCAGCTGAGAAATTTTAAAGCCTTTTTTTTTCTTTTTTTTGGAAATGGTTCAGCAGAGAGAAAAAGATGGATAATACAAGAAAATAAAGGTGATCCTGAAGAAGAGAAGTCCTTGAAAATGTGAAAAAGGATGGAGTCTAGCGGTTGGCAGAGGGGTTGGCTTTGGATAGAATTGGATCAAGTCCTCCCAGTAGCAAGAGGGATAAACTATTTCTCTTAAACCCTGTCCTTCAGATATGTGACCATTCTGTTCTAAACTTCTATAAGCAACTTATCATGCCATGATTAGCCACAGTTTTCAAATGGAAGTCTCCAGCTATGCTGAACTCTGACTTTTTAAGAATTATTCTGTTTCTGGTAATTACAGAATCACTATTTCTAGTTATTTTTTAGTCAATTATATATGAGAACCATTTTGCATAATATTATTGCATTGTTTCAAATGATATGAAAATCTTGCAAAGCTTTTTCTAAAAAAAAACTAGATCATTGTTTCTCAGCTTTTTGGCTATCAAGTGAAAAATAACTAGATCAATTTTTCTTTTAGCTTAAATTTGGGCAAATTTCATTAGCACTGTGTTTTATTGCAGTTAGCATGATAATTAGTCATTAATGGTTAGTTCCCTTAAAAAATAAATACATCTGACAGGATTATCTAGGAATTTACATTTCAGTGGTTCCTAGAAGTATTCTGCTAGAGAATCTGTGGATATGGACTTAATGTATTCATTTTTATTGACATGCAGTGATCAATGAGGCTTTAACAATTAAAGCAACATGCAAGGTCATAACAGAGAGTACACCAAAGCAGCAGGTAACCAACAACTATAGAGAATGTCAACTTGGGGAGAGACTGATGTATATAAGCTAAATGATATACAGACTGCATTATTCCATGTAGGCTCTAGTCAATTAACTGTGAAGACCCTTTTGGAAGTGTTCCATACTTCCTAATTAGAATGCTTTGAAACTTAACTTTCCTATTGTTGTATTGATTTAACTTGAAGCTTGCTACCTTCAATATGCTCTCATTATATATTAAAAAAGGCCATATAACAAAAAGATATTTGACTATCCTTTTTGAGAAGATTTGATGTAAACAAAAATATATTAGGTATTGTAACCCTGATAATATACAACTGAAGGAAGCAAATATAGGCTTGACTTTTGATTCTGAAGTCATCTAAATGAACATAGAATGAGAAAGCACATGAAAGCAACCATTATGTATACTTCAGAATTCCTTTTCACAAAATAACTTTTCATTAATAGAAAAAACTTAAGAAGTAACACAATGAAGTAGGATATGTTCTTTTCAAACTGAAAGGAATTTGATAGTATTTGTAAAATGACTTGAATTAAGCATTAATTTTCTGAAATAATGATTATTCTAAATGTTTCTCAAAAGTGAGTTTACCTCCCATAACACAACTGACTTTCAACATTTGAATTTTCTGACATCTATTGATTCAGTAAACTAATTACACTATGGTGATCTACAAGAAACATTTTAAAGACTTAAATTCAAAGTATTATGTATCTAGCATTTCAAAATGCACTCAACTGGATCATAATACAAGTTAATGAGAATTAAAATTTATCACTCAACAATTGCCTTCAATATTGCAAGTTTCTCTTAATAAGATAACCATAATCTTTATTTTTATATTTACACTGAAATATCTCACAGGAAGGCTTTCTGAAACTGTGGTTAATATAACCTTGTTTTATTTTTTAGCAAGAATATTTTTTCATCTCTGTTTTCTTATATGAAATACTAAAATTATAAACTATCCACTTTCAGTTTGTTTTCAAACTGTTTGTATTAGCATAGGAGACAGTTGACCTCTTGGCAAAGATAAGAGAAAAATGAGGCAAGCTAGAATTACAGCTGAGTCAAGTGAATCATATGCAGCAGAAAGATTTAAGTAGAAATTTTAACTGTAGGTCATTTATACTAGAACCTCTCTTATCAGGTTAGAGTAAAAAACATCATCAAAAACAAGACATATTTCAGGTAAAATTGAAGGACACGAGTAATCAGTG